>NC_000010.11:49234004-49385519 GCF_000001405.40 Homo sapiens | reverse complement strand
GGAGTCTCCCTAGACAGTGTCCAGGAAGAAGGAGGGAAGGGATTCTGGGTGTAGGGAACAGCATATGCAAAGAGTTCCAGGGGCGAGGAGGGTGCCCATGGGAGAGTGCCCAGAGATAGGGTGAGGGTGCCCAGCAGGGGCCAGAGCTTGATGGCCCTGGATGCCAGGATCCTGAGTCTGGACTTTCCACTGCAAGAGGTGGAGCCCTTTTAGCCTGGGGCTGCTTCTGAGTGGTCCAGGCAGCTGGGTGCATCCCCTGGCTCAGTCGGCTGATGTGGACAAGGCCTAGCTCAGTACCTTCTCCTGGTACTTCCTTCAGCTCCAGGGTCCAGGTGCTCTGGGGGCCACATAGAAGCCCCCCACTCCCCAACCCCATAGAGCAACATTGGGACATATTTACAAGACACAGTGGGCTGCTCAGGGGCTACAGTTGTGCAGGCAGCCAATTAGAAGGGGGATCCAGAAGATTACCAGTGGGATGTGGGCATCATCCAAGGGGCTGGCGCTTGGCAAAGGAGCAATCAATCCTATGTCTACCCAGCCCTGTCTGCTTCGACAAGGGCCAGGTCAGCTCCTGAGAGTCATCTTCTCTTTTACAAATGAGGGTCGCTCGCCCTACTCTGGCCTCATGAATAGGAAGTGATTCCCACGGCGTCTCTGATAGGCTGAGCTGAGGCCCCGTTGGACGCCAGCAGTGGCTGAAGGGGGCTTGAGGACTAGACTGCAGCCAGGAGGGTGGGGAGACCGAGGGCAGTGTGTGAGAGGGAGACAGAACTGGGCTTGTGGCTCCCACACCCTGGGGGTGCTCCCAGCTCAGCACCAACCCAGGACAGAGGCTGGTGCGGACAGGAGGGGGTGGTGCTGAACTGGACCAACTGGCCTGAGTGAACGTGGCCACAAACATCTGTCCATCCTCTTCCTCTCCCCTCCACCCCTTCCCTAAGCCCTTCTGGCTGGGCTGTGACCTGCCACCCCGCCCCGGAGCCTGCCCCATGCCTGCCTTGCTGGAGATGGACTTTTCTCTGTTGCTGCCTTTCTTGTCGGATCTTGGGAGGTGCAGGGCCCTGTGGAGGTGGCAGGAACCACAGTGTGCTCATCAAACTTGGATGTGTCTTTGTGCACTGTAGGGGCCCTTCAGGGGCAGCCAGCACACCCCTGTGAGATCCCCTTCCTGACTAGTCAGGGGCATGGCGGGCCCTTGAGGTCGGCGACATACCGTGTTTCCAGAGCCAGGCAGGTGGGCACAAAGTGAGCGTGTGCAGGTGTTGTCTTTTTTCCCCCAGTTACAAATGAGCTCTTGCTCCCTTTTCTTGAAACAGGAGGCCCTCTGGGTCTGTTTATCATTTTCCCACTTCTGAGAGAGGCCTGGGTAAAAGGCACATGTTGCTACCACCAGAAGCAGCTAAGCAAGGAGCCATGCTGGGGGCACCCTCAGATTCGGGTTGGGCAGAGGCAGGCTGGGGCACCTTTGCCCACTCAAAGGGCAGCCGTTGCTCAGCCAGCTGATTGTGGCTGCGTGGGAACGTGGATGCTGTGTTGCCAGAATTGCTGCATTTTCCAGAGTAGCTGGAGATTTGTATTTATATTTGAAGTATTCCTGTCTTAGTTGGTTCAGGCTGCTATAACACAGTGCCCTATGCTGGGTGGCTTAGACACAGAAGTTTATGTCTCACAGTGCTGGAGGCAGGAAGTCTGCGATCAGGACGCCAGCAGGGTTGGGTTCTAGTGAGGGCTCTCTTCTGGGGCTGCAGGCTGCTGACTGCTCCTTGTGGAAAGAGAGCAAGCTCCTCTCAGGACTCTTCTTAAGAGGGCACGAGTCCCATTCACGAGAGCTCCGCCCTCATGGCCGATGTCCTACCAAAGGCCCTGCCTCTGAACGCCATCACAAGATTTCAATCTATGAATTTTGGGAGGGACACACAAGCATTCTGTCCGTAACAATTTCCATCTTTTAAATGTTGCCTCCAAGTCTTTGGGCCAAATTGGCAGGTCCTTGGTTGGACCTGCCATGGCCCTGCTGTTTTGTGACAGGCTGTAAGGGGGTGTCCCATTTCTGCTTTCTGAGTTCTCTCTGCATACCTACCTCCTGCCCCCAGCAAAGCTCTCCTCCCTGGGCTCATCCTGACACCTTCCCCTTCCATGGCCCACTCCTGCCTGGCCTTTCTGAGCAGTGGCTTTTAAATCTCCAACAAGCTAAGTCATGTTGGAAAGGGAGGCAAGTGAGCGATTATGGAAAGTTATCCTGTGCTCTACCAGGCAACCTGCCATTCAATTCTCACGGTAGTGTGGTCAGTATTATAGCAAGAGGGGGTCTGTAGTTGTACAACCAGTGGGTGAAGCTGGGATTGCTTATGTGAGTCGTGGCACCTCTGCATTCTAAAAGTGCCTGGCTCCATTGTGGGACACTTCTGGAAGTGAGGTCTTCTGAGCTGCCAGTCCCTGGGGCTGCCTTGGAGTCAGCAGGTCAGCCCTGCCTTGCCCTTGGAGGTGTGTGGGGATCTCTGCTCCAGGACCCTGGGTGGGGGTGGGAGGTGTGTGCTTGCGGCATAGTCAGCTTCGAACACCGCCAAGGTTCAATTCTCCCCGGGGTCCCTCTCCAGCAGGTGGGACACACACACACACAGTGTGGCAGTCTGTGTTTCAAAGGTGGTTTCTGGAGACAGAAGGAGAATATGATAGAGTCTCCCTAGACAGTGTCCAGGAAGAAGGAGGGAAGGGATTCTGGGTGTAGGGAATGGCATAGGCAAAGCATTCCAGGGGCGAGGAGGAGAACCAGACCCCTCTGGAGAATGGCTGGTGTGTTGGGTGCCTATGGGAGAGTGCCCAGAGGTAGGGTGAGGGTGGAACATGTGTTACGTGGCTTGGAGCCAGCACAGCTTTCTGACTCTTGCAGCCCAGTCTTCTCCTTCTCTTAGGTTTCCCCAGGCTGTAGAAATTAAGCACACAGCCCAATCTAGGCCTGGGCAAGGAATGACCTCAATTTTTTAGGTCCTAGCTCAGTTTGAGGAGCTCTGGGCTATGACATAGCCTCCCTCATCTTCCTGCATCCCCAGAGGTAGCTGGGCACAGCTGTTGGCTGAACTAGTTCTCCTTTTCTCAGGCCTGAACCCTGCTTCCTAGGGGCTGCTAGCCAACTCGGGGACTAGCACAGCATGCATGCTGGTGCTAGAAGGCACCTGACTGAGCTCTTTTTATAAATGAGAAACCGAGGCTTGGGGAGGGGAAGTCGCTTGCTCACACATCACTGATTCTGGTGGGTCTCCCCCTTGGGATGGAGGCTGCTGTCCTCAGGTTCCTGATGTGTCCTTCCCTCCCTGCCTGGCACTACCAGACACCACTTTTTCATTAATTCCTCTGGATGAGCATGGCTGGTTGGGGGACAATGAGAGGCCTTGGACATCCCTCCTTGCTGCTCCCCAGCAAGTAGTGACAGTCATAAATCTACTGGGGGAGGGGCTGGACTTGCCAAGGACCACAGAGACCAGAACCAATGTGGGCTGAGCCCTGGGGCCCCTTCTAGTCCAGACATCCCAACCACTTCTCCAAGCCCGTGGCAGCTTGCAATTCACCCAGAAGAAATGAATCAGAGTTGTTTTCAGCTCCCAGACCCAAATCAGTGCTAGTCTCCTTCCCCAGGCTTTGTGGTCTTACTGGGATCTTACAGCCTTGGACCAAAGATAGCAAACATCTCTGGGTAGGCCACGGAGGTTCGGGCCCAGCCCTAGATACCCCCTGGGTGCTGCTCCCCTGTGACTGAGGATCCAAGCCAAGGCTGTTCTGTGCTGCACCAGCCCCCAGCTAGAATGTGAGGCCGATGCAGGGTTCCCAATGCCCCAGGGCAAGACCTGTTCTCCCAGTGAGCAACTGGGGCACCGCCGAGAGCATTATGTGTGGTTACACATCAGAGGACTCTGAGCTGGGGGTCCTGGTCTTTTGGTTCTGGGCATGGTTGTCATGGATGTGAAGTCCTTGTCTTGCACATATTGAGAGAGCCTCCACATATTGAGAGAGCTGGGGATGCTAGCACAGCAGGGTTGGTGCTGGGGCCTGTGGGGCAGCACGTGCATGAGAAAGATGTGGCTGCCAAGGTCAGCAGGGCTGCTCGGGCCAGAGGGAGCCGGGCAAGGGTTGGAGGTTTGTGGGAGATGGCAGCCGTTTTTGGGAAGGAGATCCTGGCCACTCCAATGAGGCTGGCCAGGTGGAGTGTCCACAGGTGCAGGTGTGGCAGACCAGTCTGCAGGGTTACCAGGTGGGCGCCTGGATGGCCCTCGGGCTGCCCCCATCAGGCCGTGAGGCAACTGGCTGCCTCGAGTCAGGAAGCTGCCCACCAGGGACAGAGCTAGGCAATCAGAAACCAGGCTCTTGCGGGGATTTTCTCCTTTAATTCTGAAGCAGCTGACTAGCACAGTGGCTTCCAGCAAGGGCCTGCTGGTGTGAACCGTAGTTCTTCTATTCTGTAGCCATGCACATCTTGAGTAAATCACTGAAACGCTCTGTACTTCTGCTCACTCATCTGCAGAATGGGGATCTTGATCATAATAGCACTGAATTCATAAGACTGAATGAGGAGAACACAAGCTAGAGCATTTGAGGCCCTCAGGACAGTGGGTAGCATGTGGGAAGCGACACTATCACTAACCATCATTGAACACCAACTATTGTTGACCAGAGTCCTCCATTCTCATGCCCAGCTGCAGTCCCTAGACCCCATTCACTTTTAAAGGACCCAATGAAGTACCTTCTCCAAAACCTCTCCCATTTCTCTGAACTTTATTGCTACTGAAATTTACCTTTTCCTTGTAATCCTTGTTGCTCCAATTTTTGACCATGAGATATCCTTTGTAGGATTTCCTGGTTGGGGCTCCCTGGGGCTTCAAGCAGTGATGTGCTTTTGTCCTCTGGGATGGCCAGGCAGGCTTGCTGGGCTCACTGTGGGCATGTTTTATTTTATGGAAACTCTCAAATAAGAAGAGAGCAGGAACCCTACTCCTGTGCAGGGAGGACTAACATGACAATAATGGGTGTCCAGAGAAAAATCTGTCCCAATACAAAGAATTTTCTTAGGCTGTCTTAATGGCCAGGATTTCATTCACAATTCATTAATGCAGAGGAGGTTATTAATGGCCAGGGAGGCGCTTGGGTTTGTTCCGGAGAAGTGCTGGCCACAGGCAGGGCAGGAATGGCTGGGGCTGGAGAGCCACAGTCAGCGGAGGAGGTGCTCTCCTCGGTGCATTAGCTGGTCTGCCTCTAACCTGTGATTCACAGAGCTGGGTGTGAGGTGGGACATAATTACAGCTGCCAGGGTAGAGCTTTCATAACTCACTGCACGCTCATGCTGCAGGAGTCACAGCCACCCCCCTGCACTGGGCAGGACAGCCTGCCAAGTGGCGGCACCATAGCTGACCTTCCCAGGTGGGAGGGGTAAGCCTTCTGGGCAAGGTGGACATGATGGGGACCCTCAACCCCAGCGTGGTTCCCTAGAGTCAGAGCCCGAGGCCAGAGAACAGTGGCAGGACAATGGAGTAAGATCTGACTCCTTGCCTTCCTCCTCATCCCCTCTGGAGAGGTGACATGGTTCCAGCCAGTTGCAGGTAAGGCCCAGGCTGGGAGGAGTGTGGGGACAGATAGGCTGGAGTCTGGCCCCATCTTCCCCGCAGAGGCCTTGGACGCTGTCAGGACTGAAGGAGCTGCTGTAGGTCAAGTGCCCCGCGTGGTGCAGGCATGCAATGGCACTCACTAGACATGAGCAATTGAGCCACAGTCCTGGTCCTGCACCGAGTGTCTGAAGATGAGGGGAAGGATGTTCAGGGGAAGGGAGTGCTAGCAGAGGTCTGGCCATGGCCTTCCTAAGGGCAAGGCCCCTGCATTAGTCAAGGATGTTTTGCTTTGCTTTGGTCTTTGCCCTTGGACTTCCAGGCCAGGCTGAAGTGTCCAGCTTCTGAGGGCTGTATTGGCCATAGCGTTTGTCCACAAAGGCTGACCTCAGAGTCAGAAGTGACCTCTTCCTCCTCTGAGGCCCCCCAAAACCATCTTTCCCCTCTTCTTCTTTAACGATGTTTTCCTTTTTAAAAAAATTGTGATGTTTTAAAAAATTTAAAAAACAATTTTTATAATGGTTTTATTGTAAAATAGAATATTCATTAGAAAAATGCACGAAGCTTGCACCTAGGACTTTATTAATGGTTTCAAGCATCCAAATGGCCTTGCTTGCACTCCACACTCCTAACTCCATGTGCCTCGTTTTACTCACGTCACTTTTCTTCCCAGCAAAAGACACCGCTCTGCTGACTTTTATGATGATATAACTTTACCACTGAAGTAGGCATTCTGAAACACTGTACCAGTTAGTTTCCCTTATCCACAGTGGTTGGACCAGAAGTGTTTCTGATTTTGCATTTTTTTTGGATTTCAGAATATTTGCATTTTACTTAGTGGTTGAGCATCCCAAATCTGAAAATCCTAAATCTGAAACACTCCAATGAGCATTTTATTTGTGTGTCATGTTAGCATGCAAAAGTTCTAGATTTACAGCATTTCAAATTTTGGACTTGGGAGGCTCAATCTATAGTCTTGACTTTTTTGAACTTCACATATACATATATGTACTATATATATAGTAGATATACAGCATATATATACACACATGCATATACACACACACATATACATGGAGTCTTACAGTATGTATTTTTTTGTGTCTGAGTTCTTCGGCTCAGCACTATGTTTACAAGATTTGTTGCAATTAGGTTTAGTCATAGATTCTTTATGATATTGTAGGTACACAAGCATGTCTATAAAGACAGTTTGTCTATTCTTTTCCAAGCTTATACTTTTCAATTTCTTTTTCTTGCTGGACTGTGCTGGCTAGAACCTCTAGTACAGTATTGAACAGAAGTGGTGAAAACAGGCATCTGGCCTTATTCTAATGTTTTTAAAGCTTTATTGAGATATAATTTGCATTCTATACAATTCATCCATTAAAGTGTACAATTCAGTAATTTTAGTGTATTCACCATTTGAGTGTTCACCATCACTACAATAAATTTTAGAACATTTTCACCACTCTGTACTCATTATCAGTCACTGGCACTTTCTCCATTTTGCACAGCCCAGAGCAACCCTGACTCTGCCCTCTGTCTCTGCAGACTGTGGACATCTCATGTGAATGGAATCGTGCAATATGTGGTGTGTGTGACCTGCTGTTGCTTTATTGATCTCATGAGGAAGCTCTTAGGGTTTCACAGTTGTGTTTGCTGCCTTTTTTTTTAAAGATACCCTTTATCAATTAAATATATTTTCTTCATCCTAGTTTTCTAAGAATTTTATCTTATCATTTTTAAAAATTACTAATATTAATGAATATTGAATTTCATCACTTCTTCTGTAACTGTTGAGCTGACTGCATGATTTTTTTTCTTTCTCAATATACTAGTAGGATGAATTATATTGATTCTTTTTTTAAATGTTAAAACAACTGCACATTCCTGGAATAGACCCAAATTAGATGTGACATGCTATTCTTTTTACATATTACTGAATTTGGTTTGCTAATGTTTTCTTTAGGGAGTTTGAAGCTATGATCATGAGGAGATGGGCCTGTGGTTTTTTTCTTATAATCTCCATTCCAGGTTTTGGTATGGTTTTATTTAACTGTGGTTGCCCCAAAAGTTAGTATTATAAAATAGCAACTGTTGTGTTATCTCTCATCATTCTGAGGGCTGGCTGGGCTCAACTGGGCAGTTCTTCTGCTGCTTTTCCTTAGGCTCTTTCGTGAGGTTGCAGTCAGATGGCAGCTGTGCCTGGTATATACAAGATGGCATTACTTAGGTCTCTGGTGCTTTTACAGAGATGCTGGGAGGCTGGAACCTCTCCCTCTTTCTCCACATGGTCTCTCCTATGGTTAGCTTGGGGTAGGGTTGAATGGTGGTTGGATACCAAGAGTATAAAAGCAGAGGATGCCAGGCCTTCTTAAGGGTCACACCCAGAATGGGTACAGTGTCACTGCTGCTGCATCCTATTGATTAAAGCCAATCGCCGGGCCAGCCCAGACTCAGGCAGAGGGGACTGCACGTGGGTGTGAGTCCTGGGAGGTGTGGTCCATTGAAGACTGACTGCAGACACTAACTGCCACAGGTATCAAGGTTATGCTGGCCCCTGCCATGAGTTGGGGTGTTTGTTGTTGACCACCCGTACTTCCAGTTGGGACTATTTATACTTTAAGGGCACTATTCACATCCAACATGCCTCTGGATCCTTCCACCTACCTCTGCCCCAGCACAGAGTCTGGTGCAGAGTAAAATGTAATGCAGTTTGGGAAAAGAAGGAAAGAATCTTGTGTTGCTCTGGGCCTGGGAGAAGGTCCTCTCTTAGGAGATTCCAAAGATATTGACCCTGGCTTTGCACTGCTGGCCACCTGCAGGACTCCAGAGACCTCGAGGCTCTCCTGTTCTTCATTCAGCACCCACTGAGCAGCTACACTTTGCCAGACTCTGAACCACAGGTTGAGCATCTAGCAATGAATTAGACTCATCCCTACGTGAAGGATCTGGAGGGCTAGGGGGTGGGCTTGGAGAGACAGACAGGTCCACCAAGAATCCTAGTTCAGGTGACAGTCATGGACTCTCATAGAAGCAAACAATGGCATACAAAGTATGGGGAAGCCCAGAGGAGGGAGGAAGTTTCTCCACAGGAAGAAGTCTTTCCAGAGAAGATGCTTGAGCTGTGCAGTGAGTGAGGGTCCCCCAGGCAGAGAGAAACATGAACACCGGGAAGGAGCCTGGCAATGCTGCGTCCTTCTTGACACTGGGTCACCTTGGGGTGGATTTCAGGCTCCTCACCTGTGAAACAAAGACTGTAACAGCCATACCTAATGGTGCCCATGCATCTGGCACATCCAAATCCACCTAAGTTCTCGTAATTGTTGTTAGAGTCATGATGTTGAGCCAAAAAGTCACTTGGGATCTGATTAGGGCTTGGGTTTGGATCGCTGAGGCAGAGGTTTCTGCTTCCTGCAAGCATTTACTCTCCCATGGGAGAGTCTCCCAGTACCCAGTGCATGGTGACTGGGGTTCATGGTGTGTGGACAGCACATAGGGCTCCAGGAAAGCAACACAGTCTCCCAGGGCTCCTGGCTTGTTACTGAGGATACAGGTATTTGGGGAGCAGAGGACTCAAGGGGACAGAAGTGGTCGTTCCTCATGGGGAAAGTGGCTGGGTCAGCCCTGGCTCCTCCATGCCTAGCTGATGTCAGGAAGACAGGTGGAGAATCCTGGCACTTAAGATTTGTAGGAGATCTCTTTGTTGAGCATGTTACCACGGCTTCTGCAGAATATAGTGGGGGAACCTGAGGCCTGGAGAAGAGATAGAACTGTCCAAGGTCACATAGCATGAATGTCAGAGGCACAACAATTCAGGGACCTGGGTGTGCAACCTTCCAGCCCCCTACACCCTGTATTGATTCTGCTCCTTTGACAGGCACCTTCTGTCATCTTCTGGCTTGAAAACCTGCAACTCACTCTGCAGAAGCCATTTCCTATGGGTGCTGATGGGTTTGCCCTTCCTGCTAATCAATGGGGCCCTGGAGTGCACAGAGCTGAGCAGAAGGGTCTGGCTGGTGCCAGAGGCAGCAGGAGAAGCAGCCTGCCCATGCCGAGCTCTGGCTGCTGCTGGAAGGAGGGAGGGTTGTGTGAATTGGCATCTGACTGCCAGGAACATGCGTCCCTGTGACTGCTCTGGCTGTGTCCTTGGATCTGGGGGCAACTGTCATTACTTGTTTGACCCTGCAGAGACATCCAAGCAGAAAAAGAACATGTGCACTGGCCCTGAGACTGTGTCACAGCACAAGGCTCTGGTTGGAATGGTCGGCTGAGTTGGCCCCCATCAATGAGTGTTTGCTGAGTGAATAAGTAATTGTCGAAACAGAGGCCTTACATGTAATAGGTGAAATTAAGGGACGGGTGGGATTTAGAGCTGATTCCACCAAAACCCCTTCCAAATTAACTCAGGGATTTTGACATTAATCAGATTGGTTAACTTCGTTAAGAATACAGTTTTTCTTTCCATGGGGTATTGAGGAAGCTTAGAACCTGGGAGATGGCAACTTTGAAGAACTAAAATGTGCCAACTCGGTCAAGAAAGATAGATTCTCTCTCCTTTTCTCCCTTCACCAAATATTCACTGAGTGTTTACTTTGTACCAAAATGGGACAGTTTTGTTCTGCAATCAGGGCTGTGAGATTGGATCTGGGAGGCACATACATCAAGCTTGGGAGGTGAGGTGTGTACAAAAACAAACACGGCTCATGGTGAAAAGACAAGAAATAAACCATAAAACAAGAGGAGGAGAAAGTACTTCAGGAGTTCCTTTAGTAGAAGACAGTGTGTCCAGGAGTGAATTTGGCCTTGTTTTTTGTTTGATTATTGGTGACTGCACTTAAACACAGCAGCTAAAAGTATGCTTAAATATTGTAGGCATCTACCAATATTCCCACTTAAACTCTCCTTGTGAACTATAAGGAACTGGTGTGATGACTCACAAAATGTTTATTAGTTTATTTATTTTACTACAAAGTGGAAATAAGTGAACTATGCTGTTTGCGTTAGACGTCTCATAAATCCATGTATTCATTTTCTGTTCAACTCTTGTTACCCTAACCTGAACGTTCAACAGGAAAACCGTGTGTGAGAGCTCTCCTTGTCACTGGCATTGGAGTCTACATACCTTAATGATGAAAATGTGCTATTGGCAGAGACGAGACAGAGCTAACTTAATTTTTCCTGTCAGTCTTGGTAGTAGATCAATTAAACTGCCAAGGAGATCAAATATTTCAGACTGTATTTATTACATTAAGTATTTATATTCAGACCAAGCCTTTAAAGCATGATGTCATATAGGAATGGAGGCCGATTAGATCAATTCAGCAGAATTTGATGGAACTTAATGGAAATCAAATTGTGTGTTTTAATTTAGTGTCCAGGAGGTAGTAGCATGTTCTCAGGCTGAATTTAAGGACCAGAGGGCTCTTACAAAGACTTTTGTGATGGCACAAGCCTGCCAGGGGGAGGAAGGGAGTCATGGCCTTTTAGGGGCTTCATGGGGTGGGAGCAGGCAGGAAGGGACTCACTGACTTTGGTCCACACAAATGGGAGGGGAGATGAATAGAAGGTTGCTGGTGAATCTCATGGCGCACCCTCAGCCCCATGTTTGCTGTCAATACCCTGAGTGCAGGCGGAGGCCATTAGTCATCTTGGAGTCTTCACTGGGTGATGAAGACACGGTCTTTATCCCTTTGCAACCTGTGTGGGACTCTGTGCTGGAGAACATCTGTCACCATCGTCTGAATGAGAGAAGACAGGAAATCACAAACCCCAAGGAGATTACCCTTTCTATGAGAGTAATACCTGGTCAGTTTAGAAAGAGCAAAACATACAATAAAACACAAATAAAAAAAATTCATAGCCTCAACACCCAGAACCAGCCACTGTGAATATTTTGGTATTGGAACATTTTAAAATGTCATTTATGAATATATATCCCTAATAAACATATGTTTAATAACTTTTAAATTAAGAAGTTTAAATTAAGATTTTAAATTTATACATTTTTCTATTTCTAAGTAAATTTATATTTATATACATACACCTATGAAGCTAGATTTATGTGGTCTATGGCTGTACATATATATATGTACACTACATGCATATATGTGTTTTAGTATATGTGGATATGGATCATCTTAGTCCATTTGGGCTGCTATAACTAAATACCGTAAACCCGGGGACTTATAAACAATGGAAATTTATTTCTCACAGTTCTGGAGGCTGGGAAGTCTAAGATCAAGGTGCTGGAAGACTCAGTGTCTTGTGAGGGCACTGGATTCATAGATGGTATCTTGTTGCTGTGTCCTTGTATAGTGGAAGAGGAAGAGACAGGGCAACCCTCTGGGGTCTCTTACGTAAGGACATTAGTCCCTGAGAGATCTGTGCTCATGACTTAATCATCTTCCAAAAGCCCCACCTCCCAATGCTGTCACCTTGGGGTTTAGGATTTCAACATATGAATTTTGGGGTGGGGGGACATCACCATTCAGTCTATCGCATGTGTATGTTTTATACACACGCATATATATTCCAAAATGTATTCATGTTGACTTACTGATGACTTATTGTTTATTTACTGCTCTTTTACCTATTTTTTAAATGTCTTATTTCATTAGTATCTTTTTCATGGTACTAAATATCCTCCTTTAATATAATTTGTCGTAGTTGTAGTGTGTTCTATATGGGTATAACTTATTCAGCCAGTTCCCTATTACTGGGCCATGGGTTGATTCATGATTTTTTGCTGCTATATGTGCACAAGGATGACTTCCTTAGTAGCTAATTTAATTTTTAGCCCATTCATTATAGCTTAAAATTTTTTTATTTAAATTTTTTATCTTTAAAAAATATTATTTGCTTATCTTCTCTTTATTGTTCCAATTTTAGTGCATGTGCTGCTGAAGTGAGCACATGATAGCTTTTTGATAAATTAAAGAAAAACAAAAACAAAAACAATACTCTGCTACTCCCTTCTAGAGTCCCATGTCTAGAAATCAAGTAATTAGGAGGGGGTTTTGAAAGTTTGTTTGGCTTACTCTTCAAAATTCTCTTGGCAGTATAAATTACTTTTTGGCCAGATGGGAAGATTTCACTGAGGAAAAAATACAGCTGTGAAAAAGTGTACGGCTTGTGCCAATGGCAGGGTAGGCACACAGTGCTGGTGAGAGCAGTCACTGCATGTACCATATGTGCATGTATGTAGTGTTACGTGTGTGTGCATGAGTACTGTTGCAGGTCTCGTGTCCATCATGGTGTCCTCTGGGGAATACTCGGGACAACTTGGGTTCTTCAGCTGGTCATGGAATTGAACCAGAAATTGGAATAAGCTGTGAATTGTGACTTAGAATTGTCCTTTAATTTGTATGGAATTGTGGAAATAATTGTTTGAGGATTAAGTACCAGGTGCTTTATAGGATTTATCCCCAAAGTAGGTGTGTTAAGGCGAAGAAGCTGAAGCTTGAGTGGATGAAGGCGGGTCCCGTGTCTGGTTAACAGTGGGGTCAGGGGCCAGACTTCTTCTACCACCTTCTTCTGACCACCTTCTTCTTTTGATCACCTTCTTCTGCTCTACACAGCTGCATTGGCTTTTCTGGCCCCAGAGATGTCCTATTGTCACTCGTTTATAGGATTTCCATAATGATGACTTGGTTTTAGGGTAGACCTTTTCTAAGTGTGTTTGTCACCTTATGACATAATAAAGAGTCAGTGCCTAGCTCCTCTCACGGCCAACTCAGTGGCCCCATGACTAATAGTCACAGGCTTGGTGCAGTTTTCAAAGCCCTGTCAAACACCATGTCTTGTGACCCACAGTCGCCACTGTGATGGCTTTGGGCCATCCTGGGATTCTGCTCTGCTTGCCTCTGTGCAAATGGCTCCAGGTTATTATGCATTTTGAGTGTTTTTGGCTGTTTCAGAAAATTTTGTCTCTTTTCTCAGCATTAACCATCAATGTGTCTGCCACTAGCAGTCACATTTCTTTCTAGTTTGTGGCAGTCTTGGAAATCAGACAACTTATGTTAGAAATGCACTTTGCACATAGGAGAATCTTCAAGCATTTGGTGAGGGTCCTAGTAGCTGGGACTACAACTGTGTGCCACCATACCTGGCTTTTTTTTTTTTTTTTTTTTTTGAGATGGAGTCTCACTCTGTTGTCCAGGCTGGAGTGCAGTGGCATGATCTCAGTTCACTGCAACCTCCACCTCCCGGGTTCAAGCGATTCTCCTACCTTAGCCTCCGGAGTACCTGGGATTACAGGAGCACACCATCATGCCTGGCTAATTTTTGTATTTTTAGTACAGATGGGGTTTCACCATGTTGACCAGGCTGGTCTTGAACTCCTGACCTCAGGTGATCCCCCTGCCTTGGCCTCCCAAAGTGCTGGGATTACAGGTGCCTGCCACCACACCTGGCTAATTTTTTTTGTATATTTTGTAGAGACAGGGTTTTGCCATGTTGCCAAGGCTGGTCTCAAAACTCCTGGGCTCAAGCGATCCACCCACCTCAGCCTCCCAAAGTGCTGGGAATACAGGTGCGAGCCACTGTGCCTGGCCTCTACTTGAGCACACGTTTCATGGCCAAAGTGCATGAGCTTTGGGTCTGGATTTTTACTCAGTAGCTATTTACTAATGAGTCACCCTGGGAACCCCAGAGGATGAAGCTCCATCATGTTATTTCAAGTTCTCAGCAGTGTTCAGGGTCCATGAAGTTGTTTGTGCAGGCGGCATATTGATACTGTCAGATCACTGAGAAATCAAGAGTCAGTTTTTTAAGAATCCTGCTTGTGGAAATAATTTTTTTCCTTTGCAAAAAATGGCTATAGAATTCAAGGGAGATGCTGGTTGTTGGACAATTTAAGTTAACATGTGTATGTGCCGAGATCACTGTAGTTCCTATCCCCCCACTGCTTTTCTCTTTAGGGTGATGACAGAGGTGTCTGTGGATGGGAGACATAAGGCAGGGTGTGACCATCACACAAGAGAGAAGGACTTTACCCTCCCTTTTTCTGCAGGTTCTGCCTCTGTTAAGGCAACCTACAACCCTGTGGGATGGCAGTGAAGTTACTGTGAAGTCGTATTGACCACATGATTGATTGCTGAGCCATGTCTCCTTTGTGTAGTTGGATCCTTGGATGCAGATTATTGACTTTATACTTTTCCTTGTTAACCATCTCACTAGATTTGTCCCCTGTTTGCTTTTAATCTTGTCTCTTACACAGATGGCCTCTCTCAGTCTTTTCCATACCTCTGTCTTGGATCCACATATCTTCCCAGTTCTCATTCAGGTCTGGGCAGGTCCAGGGGAAGCCCCTTTGGCAGCCTCTGAGGACCTCCCTTCAGATGGCCAGGGCTCATTTGCCACATTCCTAGGTGTGGCTGTTACCGTGTTTGTGCGTCCACCTGCAGGCATCCGCCCCCTTTGATGGACACTTTTGCTGCAGTCCAGGCTTGGGGTGCAGATGAGGAAAGGGAGCGACGGCACCTGTTGGGCTGTGTGCCCAAGGCTCTTTTTATTTTTTTGAGAAGGAGTATCACTCTTTCACCCAGACTGGAGTGCAGTGGCACGATCTTGGCTCACTGCAACCTCCACTTCCCAGGTTCAAGCAATTCTCCTGTCTCAGCCTCTGGAGTAGCTGGGACTACAGGTGCAAGCCACCACACCTGGCTAATTTTTGTATTTTTAGTAGAGACGGGATTTCACCATATTGGTCAGGCTGGTCTCGAACTCCAGACCTCAGGTGATCCACTCGTCTAGGCCTCCCAAAGTGCTGGTTTTACAGGTGTGAGCCACTGTGCCAGGCCCCAAGACTCTTGTTGCTCAGTGCACACCTATCAGGGTCAGCTGCCTGCTGAGGAATTCCACCCCCACCTGCCCCTCTCACCAATAGTCAAGAGCTGGAGGGACGTGTGAAAACCCTGCGAAGCTTCCTTAGGCAAAGGCCCGGTGAGTGCGGTGGGTTGAGAGTGCCAGCCCCATGGACGTGGGACTGGGTGTGGCTGGGTGAGTGTTTGGCAGCTCAAGGGGCTTTGAAGATTGTTGCTCACTGCAGGAGCCATAAAAACAGGCCAGGCTGCCCTGTGTGCACTTCATCTTCCTGGATCACTTTGCCCTCAACTCCCCTCTGGCCAGCACACTTAAAAAAAAAAAAATCTTATTTTCTTTTTGATTATGGTAAAACATGCGTAACATAAAATTTACCATCTTAACCATTTTTAAGTGTATGAGTCAGTCGTATTAAGCACCTTCCTGCTGTTGTGCAGCCAATCTCCTGAACTCTTCATCTTGCAAAACCGAAGCTCTGACCGGCGAACAATTCCCACTTCCCCTCCCCGGCCCCAGGTCCGTGTCATTCTACTTCTGTCTCTGGGAATTTGAGTACTCTGGGGACCTCACAGAAGAGGACTCCTGCAGGATTTGTTCTTTTAGTGACTGGCTTATTTCACTTAGCATACTGTCTTCATAATGACCCCTGTTGGAGCGAGTGTCAGAATTCCCTTCCTTTTAAGTCTGAGTCATATTCCATGGTATGTACAGTCCTTACGGTTTTTAACCACAGGGTCCTTGGCTTCACTTGGTCCTCAGTTTCCCATCAATCCAGTGCTGTGTGAGTATGTGTGTAGGGGGTGAGCCAGGCACATGTAGACTCTTTACCCTGCTGCAGCCCTGGTTCTGTGAGTTAATTTATTCCTCTTAACTTCCAAGTTTGGGTTTTGAGGGCCAGGAGTATAGTTATGGGTAGCTTTCTTGGGGTCTGCTGCAGGTGTGACCTAGCAGCTGTAGGCTATGGCTCCAGGGCAAGGAGGCTCTGTCACTTCTACGTCTGGCACATGGCTAGATTTGCCACTGAGTTACAGAGCATTGAACTCACCATTGATGCTTACATTGGAGCAAGCTCTTGACTGGGTTAATACCAGCCTGAGATGGATTGAGCCCATCTTTCTCATCTGGCCTGACCCAGGGCCAGCTACCCAGGGCTAAGCCTAAGGACAGTGGCCTCTTCCAGGTCCCTGAGAGCCTATAGCCCCAACCAGTCTCTGCTCTCAGGTGTGCCTGTCTTTAGCCTTCCTTCTTTTTAACATTCATTTAAAATTAACATTATGTTTCTAAGTTTAAAAGACATTCATTTTCATTGTAGAAAAACAAGAAAAATTCTAAATAGATATAGAGAGGAAAACACAAATCTACAGCATACCCTCTCCAAGGGGGACCACCATTCTTAATAACTTGGTGTCTTCACACATTAGGTGCTCCTCACCAGTGAGTGCGTTTGGGCAGGAAGACTTGGAGGAAGATAAGGCCCCATGGGGGTGGGTTCTAACCATCAGGAAGGACTGAGGCTCATAGCAGGCATTGTTCCCAGCAAAAGCTGTCATCTCCCATGAGAGTCTCTCAGTGACTGGTGTCAGGGTGTGGCTATGCCTGTGTAAGAGCCCCTAGGAGAAGTGGAGCAGCCAGGCCTCGGGGTTTGACCAAAAGCATGACAGGCTGGAGGCCAGCGGGCCTGCAGGGCAGTGGGGCTGGTCTCAGAGCTCCCTTGCACACTGTGCGTGTGTGCTGCCTCACACTCATCTTGGTATCTGCTGCCTACGGGATCAGTCCCTCAGTCAAACTTGAGGTAGGAGGTGAAGCTGCATTTAAACCTCCCATTACAATACAGGAGAGGGAAAGGCCACCAGGAGGTTCTGGTCCCATCTCTACAATAAACTGTGCAAATCTGGAGCCTCAGTTTTCTTACCTGGAGAGGGGGATGAACCACGCCTACATTATGGGTGGCCGTAATGTGATGAGAGGAGCAGCGGGTGGTAAAGGTGAGGTTCCCTTTGTCTCTCAGCAGGCTTGGCAAGGAAGAGGAGGATACATGAATATGCTTGAGGGGAGCAGAAGGTACCCTGGCTTTGGCATTAGGAAGGCTGTCTTGGGAAGGGAGGTGGGGAAGTCCCAGCTGCTGGAAAAGCTGGTGTAGCTCCGGCTGCCCCTGAGGTTGATCTCTACAAGTGGGTGCCAGGCCAGGGTGGCCTTCCAGGCTCCAGTGAGCACAGACATTTGTCTCACGATTACTGCCCCTTGGTGGCTTGAGGAAGGACTCCAGAGCATGCTCAGAAAGGCAGAACAGCAGCTCAAAGCTCACTTGCAGCCTGAGGACATGTCCAGGACTGCAGGGGAGCTGGGACACAAGTGTGCTGACCTTGGTGCTGACCTTGCTGCAGCCCTCAGCCTCGGCTGGGACCACTTCAGAAATTCCCTCTTCGTATTTTCCATTATCAGCAGCCAAGAGGCAACACGTGGGTGAGAAGGATTGACCTGGGCTTGGACCTACACTAAGCACTTTCCAAATTGGTTCCCTCTGAGGTTCTCAGACCTCAGTTCATGACACCTGTGGGCCATAAGCAATATCTAACAGTTAACAGTTCTGTTCATTCAATGGTTAGGTCCAAGCAGCTCACTAAGTATGTCCTGACAACTTAGTAGCCATTTGAAAAATAATACTTATAAATTGAAAGAAAAATAATGTTTTTCTTTTCTTTTCTTTTTCTTTTTCTTTTTAATGTTATTATTTTTTAGAGACAGGGACTTGCTCTGTTGCCCAGGCTGGAGTGCAGTGATGCAATCATGGCTCACTGTACCCTTGAACTCCTGGGCTCAAGTGATCTTCCTGCCTCAGCCTTCCAAGTAGGTAGGACTATCGGCACATACCATGATGCCTGGTTAATTTATTTTTTATTTTTATTTTGTAGCGATAGGGTCTCACTATGTTGCCCATGCTGGTCTTGAACTCTTGTGCTCAGTCGATCCTCCTACCTCAGACTCCCAAACTGTTGGGATTGTAGGTGTGAGCCACTGTACCTGACTGCTTTCATTTTTAAATAGCCACTATTCCTTTCTAAGGGGCTTATGTGCCTTATAAGCTTTGTACAGCTTCTCTAATCTTGGAATCCTATTAGACTCCACCACACACATTTTATATTCCAATGTGGAATTTTGTGTGGTGCTTGCAAAATCCAGCTTCACAAAGCAATAAAATTCTTGACAGGAATGCAGCAGGATCTCGTGGTTAGGCTGGGAACTGCCTGCAGCCAGCAGCTTGCCCGGCACCTGACATGTGTGGCTGGGTTTCCTTCCATTTAAGGTATCCCCGCAGTGCCCCAGTGAGTTCTTAGGGGTGCCTTGACACAGTTTGGGAGTGTGGAATGACTTAATGGGAACCTCCTTATAATCCTGCAATGTAGGTATTACCCCATTTTACAGAAGTAGAAACTGAGGCTCAGAGAAGCCAAGATATTGGCCTAAGGCCACACAGCTGCTTGGCAAGGGAGCCAGGACTCGCCAGGTGTCCCTGATGCTCTGACAATCCTTTGAACGATTAACTAGGTCCCTTATTTGTGTGTCTTTGAGGTTCTGAGCACTTGTCCTTCTCCCTTTAGTATCTGGCACCAGAGGGAATCAATCTTTCTGTCCTTCAGAACTCAGATCGTTTCCTGTCACCCAGCCCTGAGAGGCAGAAAGTAGACAGTGATGGGAGCCTGTTGTTTTTCCTTTTCCAGGGGGCCCACTGTGCTCTTGCTGCGTCCCAGACCCCATGGGACTCTCCTTCCTTCCCACCTATGGCTGCCAGAGTAACCGCACGGCCAGCGTGGCCACCCTGCGCATGAAGGCCCGCGAGCACTCAGAAGCTGTCCTGCAGTCAGCCAACCTCCTGCCTTCCACCAGCAGCAGCCCCGGCCCTGTCGCCAAGCCGGCGCCCCCAGATGGCAGCCAGGAAAAGACCTCTCCCACCAAGGAACAGAGCGAGGCAGAGAAGAGTGTATGAGGGTCCACAGTGCCCCGCCCGGCCTGCCCTCCCCCGCCCCTCCTTCTCCCAGCCTCAGCCCCTACAGAAAACTCTCCAAATAGCAAGGAGAAGCCTGCGGCCCCAGGGCCTCTGCATGGACCCAGGACGGGCAAGTGAGACCCACAGCTCCCTTGGCACCTGGAGCGTCCCTCTGGAGTCCCACCAGTGCGGCAGTGTTGTCCTGGCTTCTTTGGCAACAGATCCCGATGGCACTTGGTGGCAGCAGAGCCCTCTCTGTGAGGAGCCTCCCTGGGATTTCCATCCAGGCCCAGAGTCTCGGAGGGAGGTAGATTCCTCATCCGTCTCCCTTCCTATTTCCTCCCTGGGCTGCCTTTGAAGGTCTTGTCAACCCCAGGAACTGTGGCATGGGCTGAAGTTTCATGAAAAGAAAAGGGCCTGTCCCGCTTACAGTGTTTAAGAACTGGGGAACTGGTGGAACCCCAAGCGACTCTTGCTCCCCTGGACCAAGATGAGCAGTAATGCCCTTTCTCTTGTTGGAGAATATTGGTTGTGGGCTTCATTACAAAGTGAGAAGATGCAGGGTAGGGAGGGGCCAACAGGACACAGCCTGTCCCAGAGGACCACGGTGGCTCTGACCCAGGAGATCTCACTGGCACATCTGGCCGGGGGGCTGGGCTAATCACCCAGGCCACCTGCTCCATGAACTGGGGGCTGCTGTCTTGACACTGTGGGTGTGGAACTAGTGTGGCCCCTGTACCTGAAGCACTCACCTGCAAGCCCTTCCTCTCTCCCAGATAGACCTGTGGATTGGTGGGAAGTTAAGCAACTGAAAAGCAGCTCTCTGGTCCAGGAGGGCCTGAGGGCCCTTGGAGAGGGAAGAAGCCCTTCAGGAATGCCTCTGAAGTAATTATGCATACAGATGAACTACCTTTCCCCACATGCCTGGCACGTAGAGGGGGCTCTTCAGTGGTGGTGGTTTTTTACTGGGGAAAAAAAAGTAGGAAAGGAGACAGGAACGGCGTATGTGCAGATATGGAGCATGGGGAAGACAGCTTTCTCATGGTGTGGAGAGCATTAATTCCAAAGGGCCAAATTTCACAGAGATTTCTGTTTTGGTCTAGTGTGGCTGTTTTCTCTGGTGAGGATGGTGACCTAGAGGAGATCCAAGGGGAACGTGCAATAGCATAAGCTCTGCCGCTTTCTGGCAGGGGCGCCCGGCATGGGAAAGGTTGCAGTCTTTGGTGGCTTTTGCTGATGGTGTTTCCATGCGGATGGTTATTGCCTTCATGATGGTTATTTTGGTTTCAGTTATTATCGTCAAAATGTTTTACTTTCACATTTCCTGTCCCCTTTTTACCTTCCCCCACTCCATGACCCCCAAATAATACTCCTGAGTGTATCATGCCTTGTCTATGATCACTACGAAGCATTTGATAAAACCCACTGTCTCCTTTAAAGAAAAAAATCAAATCCTTCTTCCTGCTGTATTTTGCTTGTTGAGTATAAAGATGAAACGATTTGCCAAAAAGCGGCAAAGTTGCTTCCGTTTCCCTGTAATTACGAATGTTTGGTTGAAGGATGTAAGCTCAAGCCCTTATGTACACTAACTCTTCAATCTAATTGTTTGATTAAACTCGTATTTCCTCCAGAAAGGTACATAAATAAGTGAACTGTTGAGCAAATTAAGAATACTTAACAGCATTGCATCTGAAAAGTAGTTATGCTGATTAAATTTTGTGTCCTTGAGGACTTTCAGGAAATTACTTTTGATCGTCAATAACACAATTAAGTAAACTACACACACATTAGCATGAATAATTGATAAGAAATTATGTATTACCACGAAGCACTGATTTAATAATTCATGATGCGACACTCTAGTGACTGTGCAAAACTGGATCATATCGAAAAGTCTGCCTGATGTTACTGAAAGGAAAGAAAATGAGCACCAAACCTCTGCAGAGATATTGAGTACTTTGTTTTGTTGTACAAAGGCAAAAAGTAATGATGCATGATGTAGTTTCTGTTTGTTTAAATACCCAAATAAATTTAGAGGAGTTAAAACAAAGACCGAAAAAGCTCAGGTCCTCTCTTTGTTCCTCCCAGCCCTGAGGCTGCAGGGCTGGGTGGAGTCTGCGCTCTTCAATTTTCCACTTTGGCCAAGGTGCAAATAGAAACCTGGAAACTTCCAGGAGGAGGACATTGAGGCCTTGGCTCAGGAACCTTTTAGTGGATGCTGGGACAAGACAGGGGCCCCTGTGCAGATCAGAGCCCTCCCCAAGGCATTGACAAGCACTGCATTGCAGGGTCATTCTCGCTGGAGCCCCTGTAGGTTGCCCTGTCTGCAGAAGTTCATCACACGACTGTAAAAGGCAGCTGGGCTTCAGTGTGGGAAGGAGGCTCGGGCCCCAGGGATTGATTGATTAATTAATTAATTATTATTATTCATTTATTAGTCGAGGCAAATGAAGTCCATTCCTGAATGCCCTCCAGGTTATGGGAAAGGAGTCTAGAAACCACTGAAGTTGTGACTGTGACTGGGGCAGCAGCCCGGCCTTGTTGGGCATGACAGCCTGCCCGGAGGAGAAGCAACTGTGGCATGGCATGGAGTCAGGGCGGGCAGCCCTGGCATAGGACCTGGGGGACTTGGGGGCTCCTCCTCCATTCCTCAGTGGGTGCCCAGTGTCTGATCTCTCAGTTGGGTAGAAAGAACTTCCTTTGACTCTGCCACTGTCTCATTTCCTGGGAACTTTACACAGGTTAACACATTTAATCCCAATGATAAACCCACAATGTAAGTCCTACTATTCCCATTTAACAGTTAAGGAAACTGAGGCACATTAAGGTCGGGCAACTTCTGTGAAGCTACATAGTTGATAGGCTCTGATAGGAAGAGGGAAAGCTCGGCTTTATTGGGTGTCACACAGAGAGTGGTTAATAAATGACTTGATGAGGTCAACTGGGCTCAGTCTTCAAGGCCAGGAGCTCCACGGAGGCATATGAGGACCCGTTGTTCCCAGCAGGTTTCAACAGATGGTGAGTCATGGTTTGACTTTGCTCACTGTCTTTTGGGTTCTGTCCTGGATGGGCCTGTGGGAGGGGAGGATGAACCACCCCAGCGCCCTGTCAGACCTCAGTGTCTCCCTCCCCTGGGTCCGGCCTGGCAGGGGCAGGGGTAAGCCTGCCCCCATTTTATCTGCACCTGGCCTTAGGTGTGTGCCTGTCTGAGAGCAGGCCCAGTGGCGATCCCTGAACTCAATGGTGCCCAGAACTTCTGGGCCCCTCTGATGGATATTCTAGCAAGACGGGACACCAAGAAGGCGCCTGAGACTCAACCAGTCTACGTAATGGAAACTCTCTTTCTTCCTAATTTTCTGGCTTCACCAGAAGAAGTGAAACCTTTACAGATTCAGAGCTTCATCAAAGTTGGTTAAGAGCATGTTTCACTTCTTCAGAATCCTAGCCCTAAGGGCTGTGTGACTCTGGGTGGGTCACCTAACCTCTATGTGCTTCAGTCATCTACGTAATAATGGCACCAGCCTCCCGGGGCTCTTTGGAGATTAAATGAGTGGATAGCTACATGGTGCCTGGCATGGACGAAGTGCAGTAGAAAAGCCAGCTCTTGTTCCACCAAGCCTCACACATGTCAAAGGCTTGAAGACCTTTTTCAGGTGAAAACCTCACTTTCTCAAGAAGGAAATGATGGAATGGCTCTCAGCTGTGCCTGAGCCTGCAGAGGGAGTTGGGATTGCCACTCCGTTTCCTGAGCAAATTGTGTGGGCTGTAGGAGAGTTGATTTTCAGGAGGAGGCGTGTGCCCAGGCACTTGAGCTTGGAAGGGAATCTGTGGTACCCAGAGGCAGGGGTGGGCATGAAGGCTGGGGTCAGGGAGAGTGTCTTAGAGAGAGCTCTTCTAGTGGCAAGTACTGGAAAGCACTGAAGCCAGTTTATGTCAAAAAGCACTTTTAGGAGGAGGATACCAAGCGATCTCATGGAGCTCAGGATGGCTGAGACTCTAGTCCTAGGATCCCAGTGAGACAGGCACCAAGAAGCGGGGGGTTGTCAGGAACCTCCCTCGTTTTCCCCCGCAGCTTGGCCCTCTCTGCTCTCTCACAGTCATCAGCCAGGCCGGGATCATTGTGACTTTCCAGCCTCAGCCACACCCTTTGGGGACTTGAGCCAGCAGACACCTCTGGTCTCATCAGGAGTGGTCAATCATGTCCACTCTGGCCCTGCCCTGCCCGGGGGAGGGAACATGGCTCTAAGTCTCTGGGCTGGGGATCTGGGTCGATACCCAGCATATACCCCCATTACCCCCACGGGGATGGCACCAGAGGCAGAGAAGGGCACAGATGTAGAAAACCCAGTCCCTGCTGAGGCAAGTTAAACCAAAGGATGATAGGTTTCCCTGAGACAGGGACTATAAGGGCTTATATTTTTATTATTTTTAAATGATAATGCAGCTTCATTCTGGTCTCCACTCATGAACACCGTCAGCCTACTTCAGAGAATTCCACATTTGGCTGTTTTTCTCATCAAGACTTGGCCAAATACCTTCTACAGCAGCTCCAGCAAACTTGTAGGAATGGAGGGTGTGCCTGCCGCACCCAGGAAGCTCAAAGACCCTAGGGCTGTGGAACACCCAGGTGTCCCATTGGAGCCGTTCTCAGCTGCCTGCCTGTGTCCAGATCATACTCCCAATGACAACAAAGCCCTGGCCTCCAAGTTTGGACGCCCTTGGCCCCAGCACCACCAACTGCCGTCTGAGGGGGACGACATAATTAGTGCGAGACTGGCAGGTGGTTGGGGCCTGCAGTCCTCGTGGCCAAGAGCAGTGGCCCCAACCTTTCTCCCAGCCTGAGCTGTTCTGGCAGAGCCGGCCCCCCTGGCTCTCAGTCCCATAACAGGAGTCAGGGTAATGGGTTTGGATAAACCAGAATCCATCCCCCAGCCCCCAGGAAGAGCATTTTAGAAAAGGCGGCTGCCCCTGCCCAGATATGGGCTTTTCAGCTGCCTCTTTCTGAGCCACCTCAAGACAAAGCGAGGCATTTCGGTGGAAAGCAGCATTGGTTGGTGCCCTGGAAGTGCCTAGGGCCTCTCCTGCCCTGGTACCCTGGAAGCACCTAGGGCTTGTCCTGCACCCTGCCGGATGGACCAAGGAGACTGGCCTGGGAGCCCGGCCTGTGCTTAGTGCTGCTGCCTGCCATCTGCTCACCGGCCTCTTAGCTGACAACAGGGCCCCTGCCAGGCGAAGCTGCTTCTTGTCAGAGCCTGGCTGAGTTCAGGACGGGCCATTGCTCTTTAGCACACCTCTTTAGGTCCTGGGCACCACCCCCTCCCTCTTTCTGGGTGCATTATCAGACAACGCTGGAGCTGCGGCTGCCTGGCCCTGGCCTGGCTCAGCTAGGTGGCCCAGATCACAGCAACCCCTATCTTGGGACCTCTGCTGTGGCTGGGAGAGGAGGCTTGCCAGCTGTTGGAGGGCTGCCAACCCTGCCTGGGCCACACGGCAGTTGGGGGTTGAGTGGGAGAGGGCACTCATCCATCATGAGCCAGGGTCTAGGAGCAAAGGGGGGTGGTGCAAGAGGAAATTACCCAAGCTGGGGGCCCACCAGGTCAAGGGCTGCCTGGCAGCTGCCAAGGGGGCAAGGCGTTCCTTGCAGTCTCTGGTGGCCTCATTCCTCCACTCAGCAGAGAGGAGCAGCCCTTGCTGTAGCCCTGGCCCTGGAAACCCTCCTCTGAGGTGGAGTTCCCCATACATGGTAACACTCCAGCAGGGTTACTGCTGCCTGGGGCGGAGGAAGCGTCACAGGCCTGGGAATCAGAGTCCTGACATTCCTAGCTATGTGACCGTGGGCAAGCCATTTAACCTCTCTGTTCCTCATTTCTTTATCTGTATCATGGACAGAATCATCCTAACTTCGAGTACAGAGGGTTATTGTGAGGAGTCAAGGAAACGATGCATGTGAAGGCAGTTTTTGAACGACTCTCAGGAGAACAAGGTCATTGGCAGCACATGGTGCTGTCTGAAGCTGCCTCCTGCTGCATCAGTGTGGCCTGGGAAAATGCAACCTAAGAGCAGAGAGGAGGCAGTGCCAGGAAGTGAATCGCATGGACTCTCCCCAGGGCTTTTCCTGCCTCAAAGCCCCTCCCCCTCCCAAGATCTGGATGGGGCAGCGAGAGGGGGCTAAGTGATTGTGTAATGGCCACATCTGTCAGCACTGGCCAAATGGTTTTTTCAGGAGTCAGGGAGCTAATGGCCCTGCAGCCGGGACAGACTTTCTCCTAAGTGAAGCACTTTATCTACCCGGGAACTTAAGAGCAGCATGGCCTCAGGCCACAGGGACCCAGAGAACAGCTGCTCTGCTGCAGACTTGAATTAGTGCCCTCTCCCCATTGGCTTCCCTCACACCTGCTGCCAGAGGCCAGACTGCGGGTGGCAGCCTGAGTGGTGGTGGTGGGGGGGGCGGGCGATGGCAGCCCAGAGGGGGTGTCACCACACCCAGCCTTGAGTCCAGGATCCCACGCCACCCACCTAAGCAAGTCCCCTGCCCTCTCCAAGTCTCAGTTTCCTCATCTGTAAAATGGGGACAATGAGGATTAGGTGGGATGAGACAGTGAGGGGCACTGTGGCCAGCACTCAGTGAGGTTACTGCTGCAGAGGAGGGTGTGAGCTGTCCTGGACAACGGTGAGCAGCTTCAGACTGAGGGAACTGGAGAAGAATCCTCTGGGCAGAGAGAAGCCTCTATAAATGAGAGGGAGGCAGAATTCCACTGACGCTGGGGCACTGAGCGTGTTGTGCCCCTGTTTTCACCAGGAGTGCACCTGGGATGATATGAAAGTCCTGTGTACAGAAGTCTAACAAGACCTTACACATGATAAAGTGGCTTCCGTCTCCAAGGAGCTATAGAATATCACAAATTCTCTAACTATTGGATACATGTCTTAATTTTTAATTTTTTAGGGTCAGGAAATAGTGGTACATATTTATAGGGTAAATGTGATATTTTGACACAAAAATACAATGTGTAATGATCAAATCAAGAATATCCATCACCCCAAATCAACTATTCTTTCTTTGTGTTGAGAACATTCCAAATCCATTCCTCAAGTTATTTTGAAATATACAATAAATTATTGTCAATATAGCTACCCTATTGTGCTACCAAACACTAGATCTTACCCCTACCATCTAACTGTATTGTTGTACCCATTAACTAATCTCTCTTAATCCCCCCATCCTCACCACCCTTCTAAGCCTCTGGTAACCTTCACTATACTCTCTACTTCCATGAGATCATTTTTTTTTTAGCTCCCACATATGAGATAATATGCAATATTTATCTTTCTGTGTCTGGCATGTTTAACTTAACATAATGTCCCCCAGTTCCATCCATGTTGTTGCAAACAACAGAATTTCATTCTTTTTTATGACTGAATATTATTCCCTTGTGTATATATACCATGTTTCCTTTATCCATTCATCTGTTGATGGATACTCAGGTTGATTTCATGTCTTGGCTATTGTGAATAGTGTTGCAATAAACATGGGAGGACAGATGTTTTTTTTCAATATACTGAGGTTTTTTCTTTTGGATATATACCTAGGAGTGAAACTGCTGGATCATACGGTAGTTTCATTTTTGTTTCCTTGAGGAAACTCCATACTCTTTCCCTTGGTAGCGGTACTAGTTTATGTTCCCACCAACAGTGTACAAGTGTTCTCCTGTCTCCACGTATATGCCATTACCAGCTTTTTTTTTTTTTTTTATCTTTTTGATAAAAGCTACTTTAACTGTGGATACATTTTAGAAGTCTTTTTATTTTGAAATAATTTTTGAATCACTTAAAGTTTGCAAAAGTAGTACAGAGTTCTCATGTCCTTTTCACCCAACTTCTCCCAAAGAGAACACTGACATAACAATAGTACAATGATCCAAACTGAAAACGGACATTGCTACAATACTATTAACTAATCTACAGACCTTATTTGGATTTCATAAATTTTTACATATGCTCGTTTTGGGGGAGGAAGGTAATGATTGCATGAAATGTCATCACATATACATTTTCCATCAGGATGTGGAACTGTTCCTTCACTTGCAAGAGACTCATACTACTGTTTTGTAATCATACCCTCCCCAGCTGTAACCCCTGGCAGTATTCATCTGTCCTCCATCATTATACTTTAAAAAATTTTGAGACTGTTATATACATGAGAGCACACAGGGGCTATATGGTTTTTAAAGAAGAGTGTTAAGCGTGATTGTTATTCATGGTGATTTAAAACATTAACTGTAGAGAGTAAACATTGACTACATACAACATGTATTAGTCAGTTTGGGCTGCTATAACAGAATACCACAGACAGGATGGCTTATACAACAGAAATTAATTTTCTCCCACTTCTGGAGGCTGAAGTTTGAGATCATGGTGGCAGCAGTGTTGGTTCCTGGTGAGGGCTCTCTTCCAGGCTTGCAGACAGAAGCCTTCTTGCTGTGTCCTTAAGTAACCTTTCCTCATGGGGTAGGGGAGGGGAGAGAGAGAACTCTCTGGTATCTCCTCTTACAAGGACACAAATCTTGTTGGATCAGGGCCCCACCCTTATAATGTAATTTAATCTTAATTACTTCCTTTATGTCACATCTCTAAATATAGCCACACTGGGGGATTAGGGCTTCAACATATGAAGCCAGTGAGTTGGGGGTGGGGACACAAACAGTCAACACAACATAACTTCTAAAATACTTTTTAAACACTTGAATCTAGTTCTGTCAGATAGCATATAGTGACATTTATGAAACAGAAAAAATTTTTAATTAAAAATATATTTTATTGTGGCAAAATACACATGACATAAAATTTACTATCTTGACCATTTCTGAGTATAGAGTTCAGTGGCATTAAGTTCATTCACATTGATGTGCTACCATCAACAACATTCATCTCCAGAACTTCGCATCTTGCAAAACTGAAACTCTGGTAACTCCCCAATCCCTCCTCTCCTTTGCCCTTGGCAACCACTATTCTACTTTCTGTTTCTATGAGTTTGACTGCTCTAAGTACCTCATCTAAGTGGAATCATTCAGTATTTGCCTTTTTCCAGTTGGCATATTTCACTTAGCATCATGTCCTCAAGGCATTCATGTTATAGCATGTGTCAGAATTTCCCTCCTTTCTAAGACTGGGTAATATTCCATTGTAAGTATACTCCACATTTAGCTTCACAATTCATCCCCCATGGACACTTGGACAAATGGATAAGCAACCAAACGAGGGTTGCTTCAGCCTTTGGGCTATTGTCATTTTTGAGACCCTGCTTTCAGTTCTTTTGGTATATCTCCTATTCCGCAAAGTGAGATTACTGGATTATATGGTAGTTCTGTTTTAATTTTTTGAGGGACTACCATACTGTTTTCCATAGTGGCAGCATCGTTGTATATTCCCACCAACACACAAGGATTCTAGTTATTTTTTATTTTTTTACATTGACCCTTCTAATGGGAGTGAGATGACATCTCATTGTGGTGTTGATTTACATTTTCCTCAGGATTAGTGGTGTTGAGCATCTTTTCATGTGCTTATTGGAGGAAATTATTTTTGATGTGGAAAAAGCCTTGCTGATGGGGATTCTTTCAAGGTGTATAAGATTGAGCAGGACAATGCAAAATTGACTTTGGTGATGTCTTATCAACTTTTGGGAACAATCTGTCAAGAGGAGATGTAATGCCAGCCTGCTTGGCAGGGGAGTCTGTGGGAAGCCACAACGTAACATATGGACTCATGAATCTTCTCTGCATTTGGATCCGTATGCTACAACCTACTCACGTGGTAAGAAAAAAACAGGGAAGCCTGGTGAATTATGTTGGATGTTTTCTCCCCATTGCTGACCTTCTCTCTTCTGGCCTCTCTCCCTAAAGATGTCCTCTGCTACCAGGTTCCTCGTATCCACCCAGAGACAGCATATATGCATATCTCCCATTCAAACAAATAGTGGCATGTCAAATACACTGATGGGTCTTTGCTTTTTCCTTCTTAAATACCTATTTTGGAGGGAGTCCCAAAATATGTAGCAGGTGTAAGAATTTCCCTCCTTTCTAAGACTGGGTAATATTTCATTGTAAGTATACTCCACATTTAGCTTCACAATTCATCCCCCATGGACACTTGGATGAATGACACAGGGCCTAGGCTTCTGCTTCTGGAATGTTCTTTTGCAGTTCATTCTCAATCCATGCATCTCTATTCCCTCCATCCATGCACTTAACTTCTAGAAACTTCCTTTCTGCTTCCTCCGGACCTCTGGCTGCTGCTCTTCTCCTGGTTTGTTCCTTACACAGATGGACACCTAGTGCCCAGACTGTTCCAGTGAACATCAGAGTGAAAGCAGTGGCTTGTTGGTAGCAGTATGCCTCATGATTTATATTTTTTTTCTGCTTTAATTTTAGTTAGCAACCTAATGTCTCCTTTCCCACTTTTTAAAAAGATAATAAGGGCTAATAATCTTGTATAGCACCAACACTGCGGTATTGATAAAAATATGTTCACACTAAAGCACTGACTATTTAGCTTAAAGTGTCCATGCACAGGCTGATGCTCTGAAGTCGAGCTTTGGTACTAGAAAGTTGACTTAGGGGTGCAGGTACAATGTTTGGAGACCCGTCCTGTGGGAAAATTGATGTATTTATGTGAAGAGTCAATGTAGTCCCATGTGAGAAGAACAAAGGTGGCCAGGGTGTGGTGGGGGAGGTCCAGAACACAGGCTTAGGCCAGAGGCCAGGGGCCTTGAGAAGCAGGGTGGGGGTCTGAGCTTTACACTGTATGGGCTGCAAGGAAGTTTTGGAATACCAAGGAAGTTTTGGAATATCAAGGGTTGCTGGGCTGACTTTGTCTTTGATTATGAAAATAAAGATTATTTATGGATACCATCTATGTGCCAAGCATTCGGCCAGAGGCTTCTCACCTATTATTTCTGATACACACATACATTTATAAGGCTGGTATTATTTTATGTTTTTTACTTTACATCTGGAAGAAGCAGAGGCTTAAAGGGTTTAAGTGACTTACCTAGAGACAAAATGGCTAGTGATCAGCAGAGCCAAAATACATCTGATGCAGATGCCTAGGCTCCCTCCTTTCCTGAGAATTTGTCCCAAAGCAAAGGTATGGTCTTCAGGGATCGGCAACCTGTCCTGAGCCCCCCTGCCCTGCTGGAGAGAGGTGGGCCTGCTGCTGTCTGCAGTGTTGACAGTGGATTAGAAGCTCCTTCCCCAGGACTGCCAAGCTGAGGAACCCCTCAGCCCTGCCCACTCCAAGACAGACAGCTTGAATCCTGACTGCCAACACAAGAAGCAAGGCACCCCACTTCCTGTGCCCCAAGGTGGCTGCAGGGATCATGCCCTGGCTGTGAGAAGACTGGGTGTCCCAGGCACATAGCTGGAGTAGAGTTGTGGGGAGTGCTGCATTCCGGGTATGAAAAACACTTAGACGGTTCCTGCATCAACACAGTTGTTATATAGATGTGTATCCATGTTGACATGCATTAAGAAACAGAAAACTGGCACAGCAAAACATTGAGATAGTTTCCTTTTAGAATATTTTAGTGGAATAAAAAAGGGAGTTGATTTAAAGAAAAAGTATTACATCAACTGTGGTCCTGAGAGTACTTGGCTGAGGCAGGTGAGTGACCAGACTGATCTAGAGAGACGGCGCTCACCCAGAGAGCTGGGAGCAGGATGCTGCCACTCCTGTTTGTACCTCTTGGCAGCTGTGCAGTAAAAAGCCAGACCTAAGCAGCCAGGTGAGGTCCCAGGAGGAGACTCCACGCTCACCTCAGCTTGTTGAGGCAGCCGGACACGTCCACACAGCTGTCAGATGGGCCTGGCAGCTTATCTTATGGCCACTGGAGCCTTCATCCTTGTCTCTGTCCCATCCTCATTCCCACCCTGTCCCCACCAGCTCCCAGCTCTGGGCTGAGTCCACCCCATCTCCACCAGTCAGGGTCCTGCAGGTGCCTTCCCGTAGGTGGTTTCAAAGAGCTTCATGGAGGGAGGGTTTTCAGGTGTGTAGGTGAAGCTGGCAACAGTGGGGAGCCATTACACCCCTGGACCCAAGCGGATAAGGGCTGGCAGGGTCCTTGAGCCAGTGGGCCCTATCGCTTGGAGGGGGGCTGCTGGATAGGAGTCTTGGCCTGGGGACAGGCATTCCACTACACTCAGCTCTGAGTCCCAGAGAGGGACAGGGAACACATATTCCTGCTGGGGTTTCCTCCTGCTTTGCTTCCCAGCCAATCCTGCACTGCCTGTCGCTGCAGTGGAGGGGGCTGGAGGGTGTGGGGAGGGATGCTGGAAGCTAGCTGGAGACGGGGCAACAGGTCATCCTGTTGGTGTCTCAAGACTGGGGCTGAGTTCTGCCTTCCAGCCTGTCTTGGTGGGGGGTCCCCAGCTGTCACAACATGGGGAGGGAAACTTGACCCTAGGCCAGCCCTCCTCTGGCCAACTCAGAGGTGGGCAGGTAGGTAGAGGAATGAGATGTGGGAGAAAGCATGAGAGTTCAGGAAGTCCTGGGCAGAGTTAGGAGGCTATTGGGACACTTCTGCTCACCTTTAGGCCCCCAGAGGCTGTCTACACCCCCGGCTCTGTGAGCTTCCTGGAGCTCCAGCTCAAGTGGCCATCAATGACTCATGGAAATGAGTGGTACCTCCACTCTCACTTTCATTAATATCCAGATCTCTTTCTCCAGATGTCTGTACAGAGCTGGCTCCCCAGTGCTGGGCCTGGGTCAAAGACCAGTGTTCCTGGTGGGCTCCTCCCTCCCAGAAAGCAGGCAGAGTGATGGCTGCTCTGGGATGAGCCCTGAGTGAGGTAAGGGAGACAGAGCCCCGAGCATAGGCGGGACCCCAAATGCAGTCCACATTGGGCATGTTTCTCCTATCCTGAAAAGGCCACCTGCTTCTTGGTTCCCATTTCTCTGTGGGCAGAGGAGTGCCAGGAGAGAAGAGGGTCACACACAATAGCCAGGCACAGCTGCCAGCCATGCTTCAGGGAGCCCCCTCACGCTCCCTTTTTTGGTATCTGTGTCACCATGTGTATGAGGGGATTAAAGAGCAGATGTGGGTTGACACAAATTCTCAAATTCCTTTGTTCTTTTAGGGTACTTTTTTACTGCAGGGTTGTAGGGGGGAGAAGCAAACACAACTTGGGAGGAAATATTTCATCTTGTTGATGAATGTCCTGCCTCCCTCCATCCCTCCCTCACTCCCTGATGCCTTCTTTGACTCTGAGGACCACCTGCCTCTCAGCTGGTCTTTTCACCACCCACCCCCATATGTAGTAGGTGTGGCAGGCAGCTTCTAAAATGTCCCCCAGTGATTCCTGTAGCCCCCTCCCCTTGAGTGTGGACTGGATTTAGTAACTCATTTCTGATGAATAAAAGCAGCTTTGGGATGCCACTTCCCAGATTAGGGTAGAAAATGATGGCAGCTTCCGTCCCAGGTGTGTGCTCCCACTTTTTCTTGGATAGCTCCCTCAGGAGAGGGTGGGCCCCCAGCTGCCATATCATGAGGCAGGAACTGAGGGAGGCCTCAGGCCAACAGCCCTAGAGGAGCAGAGGCCCATCTGCATGAGTTTGAAAGAGTGCCCTTCCCCAGCATTCTTTGGATGAGACAGCAGCCCAGGTCAACAGCTTGACTGCAGCCTCATGAGACACCGAAGGCCAGAGACACCCAGCCAGGCCATGCCCAATTCTCACCCAGAGAAACTGCAGGATAATAAGTGTTTGTTCTTTTAAGCTGCTAAGTTTCAGGATAATTTGTTATGCGACCGTAGTGGGGGGATGCTGTCATTACAACTGAGAAAGGGCGACCTGGACCTGGTGTGCTTGGCAGTGGGAACCATCAGGGTCCTTCCTGTGACCCCAGGAGTAGGGCAGGGCAGTGCATTCCCATACCTAGGAGCTCTTGTCAGTGCTCAGTGCTAGGGCTGAGAGTTGATGGAAGACTCCACTAGGGTCAGGGAGGCTGGTGTCCCCTCTTCTTTTATTATTGACTGAGCTCAATGACTATTTTATTAATAATACATGGCTGGCAGTGATGTCTGTGAAAGCATGTTTGCCTCTCAAGCATAATTGTTCTGTCGGGCCTCCCTCCTGTAGATTTATCATTCCATCTCCGTTCTTTATTTAGCAGTTTTATTGCCAGTGATTAGTAATGGCATCAGTTGGAGTCCCTCTTTATGGGGAAGATTCATCTCTGTTTACTCAGTGGGGTGACTTTGGAGGGTGGCAGTTTGTCAGAGCCTGGTGCCCCGCTGGCCTCCCTCATCCAGCAGCTCCAGGTCTCCAGTGCCTACAGCAACTTCAGGCTGCCCCTGCCAGGCGTTCACCCTCCTCTCCTGGTTGGGCCCAGATAGTCCTGCAGGCTTGGCTCTGCCTCCTTATCAGAATGCCTCAGTGGGCAGGGGGCACCTGAACAGCTTCACACTTTACTCCCTGTATCCCCATTTAGAGGAACTTAGAATCATAACACCTTCTGAGTTCCCTTTCTGTCCCTCCAAGCACCATGTCCTAACATTCACTTCTTAGGAGGCTTTTGTGCTGGGAAAGTATTCCTGCAGCAGACCTGGGGCTGTGGGGAATTGGCTGTTGCTACCACCTGCAGATTCTTCATTGCCCCATTCACTATTGCTGCCCACCCCACATGTGTTCCAGGCATGGAGCTTTCTAACTTTGGGTGAATCTGACTTTCCACTGTGGCAGCCCTCAATGACAGCTATGCCCCGCAACACTGCCTGAAGCCTGCAGAATCCAGGCTTTGGGGTTCACACCCTCACGATAACCTGCCTGGCACAGGGCATCTTTCCCAGTGCACCAATTCCCTGTCTGATGGAGAGGACATTCTTCTGCAAAAGGTATGTGGAGGGCTGCAGGGGCAAGGCAGGCTGGCAGCAGGGGTTCATGGGGAGGAGCATGTCTCTGGACGGATATAGTCATGCCTGCTTGTGGAGGGAGTGGAGGTTACTGGACAGGACTGGTCCAATTCTCTGTGCAGGGTGGGGAAGTGAGTTGGCCTCAGCTTGCCCCATGCAGGACCCCTCCCTGTTTCCTCCCACACTGCTGCAGTCTGCACAGCATGACTGGGCTCTTCCCTGAGCATCCGTGGTGTTGGCAAAGCCACTTAGGCTTGCAGTTGGGGAAACCCAGGGCTCAGATCCAAGTTCCACTCTGTGTGGGCACAATGACCTTGGTGTGCACTAAGCCTCAGGTTTCTCTTCAGCACAATGGAGAGAATAATTGCTATCAATAAGTGGCTTATCAGGCCTCTAAAAAGTGAGACCTGCCCTTCAAGGCAAGGAGGGCTGGCTGGCCAGGGCTTACAGCCTCAACTTCTGCCATGGAGGATTCTCATGCTACTCTCTTACTAATCAGCCACCTCCTCCATGCTGTCCCTGAGGGTTGTGTCTCCTCTGACCCAAGCACAGACACTCCATCTTTCCCCTATCCCCTATTGCACAGTGGAGCATGGTGGAGACCAGCTGAAATGTTCCATTGCTCTGTTGCTGAGTGACAAATTATTTTAGAATCAGTGGCTTAAGGCAACACCAATGCTTTATTATATCTCTTGGGTCTGTGGGTCAGGAATTTGGGAATGGTTTGGCTGGTGGCTCTGGCACCATACCTGTCATGTAGTTGTCCTGGGGTCATGGCTGGAGTTGGAAGGGCAAGGGCTGTGGCAGATCAGGGGAGATCCAGCATCTTGTCACATAGTCTCAGGGCCTCTCCCTGTGGTCTGCCTGTGTGAGCTAGTTGGGCTTCCTCACAGCATGGTGGCCTCAGACTTTTTACTTGACAGCCCTGGGTTACAAAGAGAGAATCAGGTAGAAGCTGTATCACCTTTTGTGACCCAGCCTCAGAAGTCACATAGGGTCACTTCCACTGTACTTTATGAGTGGAGGCAGTCACAAAGGCCCATCCAGGGGCAGGCAGGGGAAGAAACATAGACTCTATCTCTTACTGTGGGAATGAAAAATTTCCAGGAGAGTATGTGGGATGGGAAATAATTTAGTAGCATTTTGGAAAACACAGTCTGTCACATTCATCCTACAGGGAAGTGGGCTGCAAAAAGACCTATGACCCAGGGCCATCAGAGCACAGGGTACTGCACCTTCAGTTTGGAGGCCACCATGGCTGCATCCTTCCTCTTTCTGCTCCACCTCTAACCTCCACCACAGGCAGCAGCTCAGCAATCCCCACTAAGGACAGTCTGTGTCCTCAGTCAAGGTCCCAGGAAATGAGATTTGAGAGCCAGGCTGACCTGTCTCTCTGTCCCAGGCCTTCCTTTCAAGGTCACTTCCTGTCTAGGGATCCATCCCTTTTCCTATGATTGACACCAGGATCCCCCTTTACCCCTGCCCCTTCCAAGCCTAGGAAGAACTGCTCTAGCCACAGGCCTATGTACTGACACTGTGTTCCACTTCCAGGGAGTGCTGGTCCAGCAGCAGAGGCAGCTTCATCCTGGGGCCTACAGAGTGTGCTGACCCTCTTGCCTAACAAGTCCACAAGCAGTGAGCAGGGAGAAAAAATTCTTATTCCTTTGTCGTTCTGAGAGTTCCCCCAGTGACGTCCATTTTCTTCCCCCTCCCACCTGGCTCTGACTGTGATCTTCCCCACTATCTCAGGGCGCGTATTGGTGGGGGCATGACTGGCATGCCAAGATACTCCTTGGTCTCTTCATGAGCTCCAAGGGGCCTTGAATCCTTCTTTGTGACCGGTGGTCTACCATCTGATGCTAATCCACACTGCTGTCTTTCTGCCTGCCTTCCTCCCTCCCGGCTCCCTCCCTCTCTCCTTCCGGTCTTCCACACATATTTACTGAGCATCTACTATGTTCCAGGTGCTTTGGATACATCGGAGGACAAAACAGACAGAGATGCTTGCCTTTTTTGGCTTGTATTCTTGTTGAGAGAAAAGAGACAATAAATGGTAGACCTAATTTAATCCTAAATTATGGGGTGCTATGGCTTGGATGTTTGTCCCTTCCAAACCTCATGTTGAAATTTGATCCCAAAGTTGAAGGTGGAGCCAAATGTGAGGTGTTTGGGTCATGAGGGCAGGTCCTTCAAGAAGAGGTCAATGTTCTCCCTCCCAGATGAGTGAGTTCTTACTCTCTTCGTTTACACAAGAGCTGGTTGTTGAAGAGCCTGGCACCTCCCCTTCTCTCTTGCTTCCTTTCTCACCAAGAGATCTCTGCAAAGGCTGGCTCCCCTTTGCCTTCTGCCATGAGTGGAAGCAGCCAAAGCCCCTCACCAGATGCAGACGTGCAATTTCAAACTTTCCAGCCTTCAGAATTGTGAGCTAAATAAACTTCTTCTCTTTATAAATTGCCCAGTCTCAGGTGTTCTGTTATAGCAACACAAACTAAGACACATGGTATGTTGGCAGGTGACAAGCACTGGGGAAAAAGTAATGAAGAGGAATAGGGCAGGGGAGCCTGGCAGTGCTGGGATGATGGACTTGGGTGATAGGAGACAGAGAGGTGGTTAGGAATGGGAAGCCCTCATGGGTGGGGGATGCTGGTGGCCACTGCAAAGCCTGGTATGACACTTCCCATGCCAGGAACTCTAGGAGTCTGAATCCCTCTGGCTTTTCTCACACAGGTGCTGTGCAGTCCAGGGCCTGCCTGGGAGCTTCAAGCAGAGCACCAGCCTATATCTCACAGCCAGCATTGCTCACAGACAACATGAGGAGGTTCTCTGCTCAGGGTCTGAGCCCTAAGCCTTGAGCACCATCCCCAAAGTAGAGATGCTCCTCAGAGGCCATGGCCACTTCTGCCACGATTGCTTCACCAGATTATGTTCTTGGAGTTGGTGCAAGGAAGGAGGGAGTAACTTTCCAATTAAGTCTCATTTGCTTGGTCATCTGAATCTAATTCCGTCCTTTATTAAACTTGGGCCTTCCCTGTGCATGAGCTACAACTGCAGCTGCTGCAGAATCCAGAGCCTCCACCAGGTTCTGAGAAGCCCTGTGCTCCTGGAGGTCTTCTTGCAACTTTTTCAAGCCCGTGTTGTGGGAGGAAGTGCAGCGAGCAGTGACCTTCTCAGCCTCCAGGATTGGGAGGGGTCCTGCCCCTGGCTTAGCCCTGCTAGGCTCTCAGGGCCATCACTGGACAATAAGCCTCTGCTGAGCAGTGAGGGCCTGTGGCCAAAGGAACCAGAAAGTGATGGTGACAGTGCCTGACACTTGTGAACATTTAGTGGGTGCCAGACCCTGGGCATACTAACTCACCTAATCCTCATCACCATTGTATGAGGTTGGGATTAGAATGATCCTCATTTTACAGATGAAGATACTGAGGGTCAGAGTGGCCTGCCCAATCACTGAGTAAGTGGTAGTCTGGTGGGAATGTGAACCCAGACAATCTGATTTTAAGCCTGTGCCTTAGCTCCTCATAGGTGGGGCCTCTCTTCGGTAGTGACTGTGAGCTGCCTCTGCGGAGTAGGAGTTGGGTAATTGTTTGTTACTCTGGCATGCTTTGGTTGCATGTCTTCGGGGATCTCCTTCAGTGAGAGGTGGTGACTGGGGGATACCTTCTCTCAGACCCCTTGACTGAGGAAGGCCAGACAAATGCTGCCCCAACAAATGCTGCCCTAGCTGACATCTTGCCTCAATCTCATGAGTTACGCTAACCTGGAATATGCAGCTAAGCCACTCTTGCATTCCTGAACCTTGATAGTGTGAGGAAGTAAGGTGACTTTTTTTAAAGCCACTATGTTTTTGGTATTTTGTGATGTATCAATAGATAACTAATACAGTGTTTGTATGAATTAATGTTCTGTCAAGCAGTCTACTAGAATTCCCATAACTCCCTATTCTTGTCAACACTTGGGATTTGTCAGAATTGATGATTTTTCCATTTTGATGGGTAGGTGATGCTGTTTTATTTAGACTTTACTTCATGAACTTTAGAACTCTGTTGTTAGGCACATGCACATTCAGGATTATTGTGTCTTCTTGATTAATTGGCTCCTTTATCATTCTGAAATGTTTCTATTTTTTCCTTCTTCTAAAATCTACTTTTGCTATTGCAAGTGAGAGGATCTCATTCTTTTTATGGCTGAATACTACTCCATCATGTATAGGTGCCACATTTTGTTTATGCACTTGTCTGTTGATGGACACTTAAGTTGCTTCCAAATCTTGGCTATTGTGAACAGTGCTGCATTAAACATGGGAGAGCAGACATCATTTCAATATACTGATTTCCTTTCTTTTGGGTACATACCTAGCAGTGGAATTGCTGGATCGTATGGTAGTTCTTTTTTTTAGTTTTATGAGGCATCTTTAAACTGTTCTCCATAGTGGTTGTACTAATTTACATTCTCACCAACAGTGTACATGGTTTTCTTTTCTCCACATCCTTGCCAGCATCTGTTATTGCCTGTCTTTTGGATAAAAGTCATTTTAACTGGGGTGAGATGATACGTCATTGTAGTTTTTGTTGTTGTTGTTGTTGTTGTTTTTTGTTTGTTTGTTTTGAGACGAAGTCTTGCTCTGTGGCCAGGGTGGAATGCAGTGGCATGATCTTGGCTCACTGCAACCTCCGCTTCCTGGGTTCAAGCAATTCTCCTGTTTTAGCCTCTGGAGTAGTGCTGGGACTACAGGTGCATGCCACCACAGCCGGCTAATTTTTGTATTTTTAGTAGAGATGGTGTTTCACCATATTGGCCAGGCTGGTCTCAAACTCCTGACCTCAGGCGATCCACCCACTTCGGCCTCCCAAAGTGCTGGGATGACAGGCATGAGTCACCATGCCAGGCATCCTTGTAGTTTTGATTTGCATTTCTCTGATGATCCATGATGTTGAGCACCTTTTCATATGCCTGTTTGCCATTCGTATGTCTTCTTTTGAGAAATGTCTCTTCACATCTTTTGCCCATTTTTTGATCAGATTATTAGATTATTTCCTGTAGCGTTGTTTAAGCTCTTTGTATATTCTGCTTATTAATCCCTTGTCAGATGGGTAGTTTGCAAATATTTTCTCCCATTCTGTGGGTTTTTCCCTTCACTTCATTGATTGTTTCCTTGCTGTGCAGAAGTTTTTAATTTGATGGACAATTCTCATTTGTCCATTCTTGCTTTGTTTGCTTGTGCTTTCGGGGTATTGCTCAAGAAATTTTTGCTCAGATCAATGTCCTGGAGATTTTCCCCAATGTTTTCTTGTAGTAGTTTCATAGTTTAAGGTCTTAGATTTAAATGTTTAATCAATTTTGATTTGATTTTTGTATATAGTGAGTGACAGGGGTCTAGTTTCATTCTTTTGCATATGGATATTCAGTTTTCCCAGCACCATTTATTGAAGAGACTGTCTTTTCCCCAGTGTATGTTCTTGTCACCTTTGTTAAAAATGAGTTCACTGTAGCTGTGTGGATTTGTTTCTGGGTTTTATATTCTTTTCCCTTGATCTATGTGTCAGTTTTTATGCCAGTAGCATGTTGTTTGGGTGACTATGGCTCTGTAGTATAATTTGAAGTCAGGTCATGTGATTTCTTCAGTTTTGTTCTTTTTGCTTAGGATAGCTTTGGCTATTATGGATCTTTTGTGGTTACACGTAAATTTAATGCTAGGTTTTTCTATTTCTGTGAAGAATGTCATTGGTATTTTGATAAGGACTGCATTGAATCTGTAGATTGCTTTGGGTAGTATGGATGTTTTAGCAATATTGATACTTCCAATTCACAAACATGGAATATTTTTCCATTTTTTTGTATCCTCTTCAATTTCTCTCATCAGTATTCTATAGTTTTCATTATAGAGACGTTTCACTTCTTTGGTTAAGTTAATTCCTAGGTATATAATTTTATGTGTGGCTATTGTAAATGGGATTATTTTTTAAAATTTCCTTTTCACATTGTTCACTATTGGCGTATAGAAATGCTACTAATTTTTGTATGTTGATTTTGTATCCTGCAACTTTAGTGGATTTGTTTATCAGTTCTGGTAGTTTTCTTGTGGAGTCTTTAGGTTTTTCCAAATATAAGACCATATCATTTACAAACAAGGATGATTTGACTTCCTCATTTCCAGTTTGGTTGCCCTTTATATCCTTCTCTTGTCTGACTGCTCTAGCTAGGACTTCTAGTACTGTGTTGAGTAATAATGGTGACAGTGGACATCCTTGCTGTGTTCTAGATCTTAGAGGAAAGGCTTTCAGTTTTCCTGCATTCAGTATGATACTAGCTGTGGGTCTGTCACATACGGCTTTTATTATGTTGAGTTATGTTCTGTTAAACCTCATTTTTTGAATTTTTATCATAAAGAGGTATTGAATTTTATCAAATGCTTTTTCAGCATCAATTGAAATGATCAAATGGTTCTTATCCTTCATTCTATTGATATGATGTATCACACTGATTGATTTATGTATGTTGAACCATACTTGCATCCCAGAGATAAATCCCATTTGGTCATGATAAAGGATTTTTCTAATGCATTGTTGAATTTGATTTGCTAGTATTTTGTTGAGGATTTTTGCATCAATATTCATTAGAGATATGGGCCTGTAGTTTTCTTTTTCTGATGTGTCTTTGTCTGGTTTTGGTATGAAGGTAATACTGGCCTCATAGAATAAGTTTGGAAGTATTCCGTCCTCTATTTTTTGGAATAGTTTGAGTAAGATTGATATTATTTCTTTAACTGTTTGGTAGAATTCAGCAGTGAAGCCATCAGATCCTGGGGTTGTCTTTACTGGGATACTTTTTGTTATGGCTTTGATGTCATTACTTATTATTGATCTGTGCAGGTTTTGGATTTCTTCCTGATTTTGTCTTGGTAAGTTGTATGTTTACATGAATTTGTCCATTTATTCTAGATTTTCCAACTTATTGGTATATGGTTGCTCATAGTGGCCACTAATGATCCTTTGAATTTCTGCAGTATCGGTTGTAATGTCTCCTTTTTCATTTCCGATTTTATTTACTTGGATCTTGTCTTATTTTTTCTTAGTCTGGCTAAAGGTTTGTCAATTTCATTTAACTTTTCAAAAAAATCAACTTTTTGTTTGATTAATCTTTTATATTTTTTCATTTCAGTTTCATTTATTTCTGCTATGATATTTATTATTTCTTTTCTTCTAATCTTGGGTTTGGTTTGCTCTTGGTTTTTTTATTCTTTAAGATGCATCATTAGATTGCTTATTAGAAGTTTTTCCTCTTTTTTGATGGAAACATTTACAGCTATAAACTTTTCTCTTAGTGTTGTTTTTGCTGTATTCCATAGGTTTTGGTATGTTGTGGTTCCATTATCATTTATTTCAATACATTTTTCAATTTCCTTCTTAATTTCTTCACTGACTCACTGGCCATTCAGGGGCATGTTTAATTTCCATGCATTTGTGTAGTTTCCAAAATTCCTCTTGTTATTAATTTTTAGTTTTATTCCATTGTGGTCAGAGAAGATGCTTGATATTATTTCAATTTTTCTGAATGTTCTAAGACTCGTTTTGTGACCTAACATATGGTCTATTGAGAATGATCCATGTGTTGAGGAAAATAATGTGTATTATGCAGCTCTTGGATAAAATGTTCTGTAAATATCTATTAGATCCATTTGGTCTATAGTGCAAATTAAGTCTGATGTTTATTTGTTGATTTTCTCTCTGGATAATCTGCCCAATGCTGAGGGTCGGGTGTTGAAGTCTCCAGCTATTATTGTATTGGGCTTATCTCTCTCTTTAGCTCATATTATACTTCCTTTATATATCTGATGCTCCTGTGTTAGGTGCATATATATTTAAAATGGTTAAATCCTCTTGCTAAATTGATCCCTTTATCTTACTGGTGTCTCAGTATGTCTCATGCTCCCCCAGTCCACTGTCTCTGGGTCTGGTTCAGCACCAGGCCTCACCTAAGAATTGCAGTCCTTATGGCATAGACTGCCTTTCAAGTTTACTTGGAGGCACAGAGTAGTGTAGCCCTCAGTAGTGAGGTTTGCAGGGACTCACGTTTGGACTGCTGGGGTAGGCAATTCCCCTCTGGCTAGGGCTGGTTTAAATGCTCCTTCTGTGGGTGGGTGTCAGCTGTGTTTGGTCTGGTTTTCCTTTCTGTTCTAACAGAATAGTCCCAAGTTCAGTGCCTCACAGTTTTTATGTTCTTCCTCCCCAAGGGCCTGGAGAGGCTGTCTGTACCAAGCCACTGCCGGGGTGGAGGAGGAGTGGTGATGGCAATTCAGGACTGTTTTTTCTCTCTTCAGTGTCTATCTCAGTGATATGAAGTTAAAACCAGGTACTATGAGTGCTCACCTGATTTTTGGTCCTTAGGAAGGTGTTTTTTTCTGTGTAAATAGTTGTTAAATTGGTGTCCGTGCAGGGGTGATGATTGGTGGAGCTTTCTATTCTGCTATCTTGCTCTGCCCCTCCATCTCTGCTATTGATGTCTAATTTAATTTTCTTTTGGTCGGAGAACATGCTTTTTATTGTTTGAACCCTTTAAAATTTATTGAGATTTGCTTTATGACCCAGAATATGGCCTATCTTGGTAAATATTCTATGTGCACTTGAAAAGAATATTTTTATGATGTTGGTTGAAGTGCTATATAAATGTCAGTAAGATCAAGTTGGTTAATGGTGTTTTTCAAGTCTTCTATATCATTACTGATTTTCTGTCTACTTGTATCAATTATTAAGAGACTGATGTTGAAATCTTTGTGATATGGTTTTGTCTGTGTTCCCACCAAATCTTATGTCGAATTGTAATCACCAGTGTTGGAGGTGGGGCCTGGTGGAAGGTGATTGGATCATGGGGGCAGTTTCTCATGAACAGTTTAACACTACCTTGATGCTGTTCTTGGGATAGTGAATGAATTCTTATGACGTCTGATTGTTTAAAGGTGTGTAGTACCTACCCCCAACCTTTCTATTGCTCCTTCTCCTGCCATGTGAGACATTTGTTCCCCTTTGCCTTCTACTGTAACTGGAAGCTTCCTGAGGCCTCTCCAGAAGCAGAAGCTGCTATGCTTCCTGTACAGCCTGCAGAACCATGAGCCAATTGAAGCTCTTTTTTAAAAAAATAAATTACCCAGTCTCAGGTATACCTTTTTTTTTTTTTTTTTTTTTTTCTGTTTTTTTGAGATGGAGTCTTACTCTGTCATCCAGGCTGGAGCGCAGTGGTATGATCTCGGCGCACTGCAACCTCTGCCTCCTGGGTTCAAACGATTCCTGTGCTTCAGCCTCCTGAGTAGCTGGGATTACAGGCACGTGCCACCACACCCAGCTAATTTTTGCATTTTTTTTTTAGTAGAGATGGAGTTTGGCCATGTTGCCCAGGCTGGTCTTGAACTCATGGCCTCAAGTTATTTGCCTGCCTTGGCCTCCCAAAGTGCTGGGATTACAGGTGTGAGCCACTGTGCCCAGCCTTCAGGTATTTCTTTATAGCAGTGCAAGAATGGACTAATACACTTTGACTACAATTTTTTAAATTTATCCTTGTCATTTTATAAGTTTTCACCTCATGTATTTTGAAGCTTTGTTTTTACTTAGGACCCCTATATTATCACCTTCACTCTTTGTAATATTTGTTTCTCTGAAGCCTGTTTGTTCAATTCTGATGTAGGCAAGTTAGTTTTATTTTTATTGGTGTTAGCATAACATGTCTTTTTCTATGCTTTTACTTTTAAAACTGTTTGTGACTTTACATTGAATTTGAATGTCTATTGACAGGTTATAATTGGGTTTTTCTTTTTCAATCTAATCTGACCATCTCTGTCTCTCATTTATGTTTAATATAGTTATCTATTTTGGATTTAAATCTACCATCTTGATATTTGTCTCATATCCTCTTTCTTTCTTTTTTCTGTGTTTCCCTCTCTTCTTTTGGAAACATTATTTTCTATAATTTCATTTCACTCCACTCTTGGTTTAATCTCATGTTTTTTTTTTTTAGTTGCTCTAGAATTTACAATTTAATCCTTAATTTAAAACAACCTTCCAATATTATCATACTTCTCATAAAAACCTTACAACAATATTTTTGTCTACCTCCTTTTATCCCTTGTGCTATTGTTGACATATATTTTGTTTCTGTTTACATAAATCCCACATGCGTTGACATTATTTTTGCTTTAAACAAATATCTTTAAGTATGCTAAATGTAAAAAAATGGCTGTTTTACTTACCCACATATTTCCCATTTTTATGGTTCATTAATCTCTAGTGTATATTCAGATTCTCAGCTTGCCATCAGATATCATTTTCCTTCTGCCTAAAGAACTTACTTTTATATTTCTTGAGGTACATATCTTCCAGAGATAAGTTGTCCTAGAATTTTTTGTCTGATTTTATTTAATCTTTATTTTTGGATGACATTTTTGCTGGCCAAACAATTACACATTGGCAGAGTATTTCTTTTAATACTCTAAAGATGTTGCTACACTGTCTTCTTACTTGCATAGATTCTGGTGATAGGTCTGTTGTGATTCTTATCTTTGATCTTTCGAACGCAATATGTCTTCTTTTCCTAGAGCCACTTTAAAAATTTTCTCTTAATCACTGGTTAGTTAGCATGGTTGTCTTCAGATTTATTCTGCATAGCATTTGTTGAACTTCTTGGATTTCTGGATATATATTTATTACCAAATTTGTGTTATGCCATTCTTACATCACTATAAAGAAATACCTGGCCGGGCGCGGTGGCTCACGCCTGTAATCCCAGCACTTTGGGAGGCCGAGGCGGGTGGATCATGAGGTCAGGAGATCAAGACCATCCTGGCTAACAAGGTGAAACCCCGTCTCTACTAAAAATACAAAAAATTAGCCGGGCACGGTGGCGGGCGCCTGTAGTCCCAGCTACTCGGGAGGCTGAGGCAGGAGAATGGCGTGAACCCGGGAAGCGGAGCTTGCAGTGAGCCGAGATTGCGCCACTGCAGTCCGCAGTCCGGCCTGGGCGACAGAGCGAGACTCCGTCTCAAAAAAAAAAAAAAAAAAAAAAAAAGAAATACCTAAGACTGGGTAATTTATAAAGAAAAGAAGTTTATTTGGCTCACAGTCCTGCATGCTGTAAAGGAAGCATGGCACCTGCATCTGCAGGGCTTCTGGGGAGGCCTAAGGAAGCTTACAATTGTGGTGGAAAGCAAAAGGTAAGCAGGCACATCACATGGCAAGAGCAGGAGCAAGAGCGAGTGGGGGAGGAAAGGTGCCACAAACTTAAACAACCAGATCTCATGAGTACTCACTCACTCACACTACTGTGAGGATGGCACCAAGCCATGAGGGATCCGCCCCATGATCCAATCACCTCCCAGCAGGCCTCACTTCCAACACTGGGGGTTACAATTTAACATGAGATTTGGAGGGGACATCCAAACTATATCACCAAATCTGGAAAAAATCAACCATTATTTCTTGAATTTTTTTCCTTATCTCTTTCTTCCTCACTTTTATTCCAATTAAGTGTATATTAAACCCATTGATATTGTCCCACAAGCCACTAATGCTATTAACTTTTTAAAAGTTCTTTTCTATGTGTCTTATTTTATATTGTTTCTCTTGCTATATCTTCTAGTTCACTGGCATTTTCTTCTAATTGTCTAATCTGCTGTTAATTTGATCCAGTATATTCTTCATTTCAGATATTGTAATATTTATCTCCAGAAGTTACATTTGGATTATTTCTTATATCTTACATTTGTCTCCTTACCATGCTCATGTTTTTCTCTACATTCTGGAATGTATAGAACATGTTTATTATAGTTGTTTGAATGCCTTTGTCTGGTTGTTTATTATTTCTTTCATTTAGGGTATGTTTCTATTGAGTGAATTCTTTTACCTGATTATGAGTTGTGTTTTTCTGCTTTTTGCATGCCTGGTAATATTTGATTGGCTACTGAAAATTGCTGGATTTTGTTGTATTCTTCTAAATGGAGTCATATTTTGTATGGTGAACAACTAAGTTACTTGAAGTTAGTTGGATCCTTTAGAACTTATTTTGATAAATGTTCTATAAACTGTCCAGAAGGATAGCCACTACTCACATGTGTCTTGTGAACACTTTTTATTTAGCTAGTACAACTGAGTAACTAAACTTTGAATTTCATTTCATTTAAAACAGCCACATTTGGCTAGTGGCTACCCTATAGGACACTGCAGATTTCAAGCTTGCTTTCAAGCTTTCTAAAAGGTAGAGCCAGTAAGCCTTTATTCTAAGACTTATTTAGCTTCATTCCAAAGTGATACCCTTCTGAAGATTCTAGTCAATGACCTGTGTCTTGTGAGGTATTTCCACTCTGATGGGTGGGACATGAACTATTCCCAGCTTTGTATGAGCCCTGGGGATTATTCTGCATATGCATTACTGGTACTTCACTTCCTAGCAGTTTCTTCTCACATATATGTATATCACTACTAAGCCCAAGACTTGAGAAGACCCCTCTGCATATTTCCAAAGCTTTCCTTCTGTGACGCTTCCTTCTCCCCAGTATTCTGCCCTGCAGATTCTGGCTTTTTGGGTCTCTTCAAACTCTGATCTCTGTGGCTACAAAGACAAACCACCAGGCTCTTGCTGGGTTTCCCCTCCCTGCATCGCAGCCTGAAAACTTCCTTCAGATAATAAGCTGGTAAAATCCTGGGACTTACCTTGTGCTTGTGCCCTCTCTTCAGGATTCCAGTCCTATGCTGCCTATTGCCCAATATCTAAAAATTGTTTAGTTTTTTCATGCAGAAGGAAGGGAAGACAGAAGAGACATGCCTTTGTGATGTATAGTTCAGTTAGTTTTGGTGGTTAATTTTAGTGACTGGTAAATTCAGCTAAGAGCTTATTCATGGAGTATGATAAAATTATTCATATCCTTTTGATACAAAATTCCCATTAAAATTTGAAAAGGCTTTTGGCGTAAATCAGAATGACCCAATTTTATGGGTCTACTGATGATGATACCTTGAAAGGACACATCTCACCTGGGTTGCTGGAGTCCCTGCCTAAGTGGCAGAGAGGAAAGACTCATACCTAGTAAATCCTCTCTACAGCCATCAACATAGGGCTCAGGTTTACTTAGAAAGACCCTTACCCTTAGCTTCTTAGTCCATTTTGTGCTGCTATAACAAAATACCACAGACTTGATAATTTGTAACAATAGAGTTTATTTGGCTTATAGTTCTGGAGGCTAGGAAGTTCAAGATCAAGGGCTGCATCTGCTAAGGGCCTTCTTGCAGCATCATAGCATAGCAGAAGGCATCACCTGGCTCAGGGGCCATGTATGTGAGAGAGGAACGGGGGCCACACTCATCCTTTCATCAGGAACCCACTCCTGAGGTAACAGTATTAATCCATTCATGAGGGTAGAGCCCTCATGACCTAATCACTTCCTAAATGTCCCACCTTTCAACATAGTTGCATTGGGCAATAAATTGCCAACACATAGACTTTAGGGGCCATAATCAAACCATAGCCTTTAGCATCTTCTGCCAACAGTCTGGAGGACTGAGACTAGATTGTAATATGATGTGGGCATTTTTTGGAGGGAATTTCTTCCTACTTTCTCCTTGCTTCTGGCGGCTTCTGCCCCACCCCTGACCCTTGCAGAGTGTGGGAGCTGGATGGGCCCATCCTTGTCAGCAATGATAATATGCTGTAGGAACTCAGAGTGGTCTGGGTTCCTTCAACAAATTCATTTAGCTGGGTCAGCTGGTTTAAAGTTTTTGGAGCCTCAAGAACTTGCTCAAAGGAAGCTGTTGGAATTTTCTGGGACATTAAAAAACTCCTAGTGGCTAATTTGACTTCCTAAAAGCCACCCGATTTGACCTTTAAAGCCACCTGTTTCAAAAACTCATAGAAAAATTGATTGAGATATGAACATGTAAAGCATCCTTTAGATGCTCTAGAAGTTTTGAAAGCTCCTCTGTGCTTCATAATGTTCAAATTCTACCCACAGATTTAAACGTGTGTGTGGATGTTTTGGGTAGTGATGCCGTTTACCTTTTGGAGTCATTTTTCCTGTGATAATATTTATTTCTCCATCTATGAAACTAAAATTAGACAGATTCATTGGATTGAATGAGAAGAGAAATAAAATAACTATCTTAATTTACCCTCCTGGTCCTGAAGAATAGCACCCCTGTTTTTTCTTAGGTGACTTAAAAGTTAAAAGCACATCTGTACTAACCTGGCCCTCCCACTTGGTAAACAAACACAATGAAGACTGTAGTCTGAAGCTGAATTATCCCTGTGGTAATAAACACAGAATTCAGGCATATCCACCACTTTCACTTAATACAATTTGCCTAATGTCTTCATCATTTCATCGTAACAAAACCAAATAATACTTCATTTCTAATTTGAGCTTTGGATGTTGTTGTGAGTGCTGGGCAAGACTTTTGGCCTCCTTTTCTTGGCAGGCATGACATTTCTCATCAAAGAACATTAGTTAGATGTAAGTACTTACATAGGGGTTACATTGCAGGATGCCTGTTCTTGGATACCTGAGATCCCATCTGTGGGGTTCAGTCTAGAAACCACATGGGGGTTTGGGGGAAAGCGCTCACTGTGACTTGGAACCGGAGCTCATCTACATGGTGTCCAACAGCTAGTTGGGTAAAGTGAAGAAACACAATCAATAGGGCATTGGTTGCTCTTCCAAAAAATTCTTTTTACTGGCTTCAACCCAACAATTTAAAATAAGAAAATAAAAACTCATCATAAGAGCCGAAAGATGTTTACTAGTTGCCTACCTTGTACCTGGCACTGTGTTAGCCTCTAGGGATACAACATGATGTGGATAGGCAAGATTGCTTCCTCCAAAACTGACCATTGCCTGAGTTAGGAAGACAAACACTTAAATAGGCAATGACAATATGTCCAATGATGGGAGAAGTACACAGTGCTGGTGGACTAAGAAAGTGAGGTGCGTGGTTAGGAGTTAAGGCATCAGGGACAGCCTCCTAGAGGGACATGACATCTAATCAGGGTACTTTAAGGTACATAATAGATATACAAGAGAAGGCTATCTGTTTTGGGTCTCTAGAAATTAGAAAAGACTGCAAGGTTAAACTCTGGAGGAATTAGACAAGAGAAGGTTATAAGGTTGGGATCTGTAAGAATTAGGCCAGAGAGGGCTGTAAGATTAGGATCTGTAGAAATAAGACATTAAAGACTGTAAGGTTAGGATGTGTAGAAATCAGACAAAAGGAAGCTGTAGGGTTAGGATCCACAGGAGGTAGAAAAGAGAGGGCTATAAAGTTAGGATCCTTAGGAAGTAAATAAGAGAAAGTTGTAAGATTAGGATCCATATAATTTAGAAAAAAGAAGGCTGTAGATTAGAATCCACAGGGAACAGACAAGAGAAGGCTGTATGTTAGAACCTACAAGAAGTGAACAAAAGAAGGCTGTAAGTCATGACCCACAGGAAGTAGTCAAGAGAATGTTGTAGGTCAGGATACACAGGAAGTAGTCAAGAGAAGGCTGTAGGTCAGGACCCACAGGAAGTAGTCAAGAGAAGGCTGTATGTAGGTCAGGACTCAAGGGAAATAGTCAAGAGAAGGCTCTATGCAGGTCAGGACCCACAGGAAGTAGTCAAGAGAATGTTGTAGGTCAGGACCCACAGGAAGTAGTCAAGAGAAGGTTGTAGGTCAGGACCCACAGGAAGTAGACAAGAGGAGGCTGCAGGTCAGGACCCACCGGAAGCAGACAAGAGAAGGCTGTAGGTCAGGACCCACAGGAAGTAGTCAAGAGAAGGCTGTAGGTCAGGACCCACAGGGAGTGGACAAGAGAAGGCTGGAAAAGGGTGAGGTTTCAGGGACTGTGTGAGGGTAGAGAGGGAAGGGAGACTGGGAGAAAGAGAGGGCTCTGGTTATCTGTTGCTGTGTCATAAAGCACTGCAAAACCTAGTGGCTTAGAGTAAAAATAACAACAATCTTCATTGCTTTTCACAGCTTTGTGAGTCAGGAACCTGGTCTCTGTCAGCCCATGGATGGAGCTGAAACAGTATGGATGAGCATGCCTAACTGGCTGGCCACCTCTCCTTCTGATGTGCTTTGAATATATGTCCCCACCCAAATCTCATGTTGAATTGTAATCCTCAGTGTTGGAGGTGGGGCCTGGTGGGAAGTGTTTGGGTCATGGGGGCAGATCCCTCATGGCTTGGTGTTGTCTTCATGATAGTGAGGTCTTGTGAGATCTGGTCACTTAAATGTGTGTGGCATCTCCCCCACCACTCTCTCTCTTGCTTCTGCCTTTGCCATGTGACGTGCCTGCCCCTGCTTTGCCTTCTGCCATGATTGGAAACTTCCTTAGATCCCCCACCCCACTGTCCAGAAGCAGATACCGCTATGCTTCCTGTACAGCCTGCAGAACTGTGAGCCAATTAAGCCTCTTTTCTTTATAAATGACCCAGCCCCAGGTATTTCTTTATAGCAATCATCACACCTGTAATCCCAGCAATTTGGGAAGGTGAAGTGGGTGGATCACTTGAGATCAGGAGTTCGAGACCAGCTTGGCCAACATGGTGAAACTCTACTAAAAATACAAAACTTACCTGGCCATCGTGGCTCCTGCCTGTAGTCCCAGCTACTCGGGAAGCTGAGGCAGGAGAATCGCTTGAACCCAGGAGGCGGAGGTTGCAATAAGCCAAGATTGAGCCACTGCACTCCAGTCTGGGCAAAGAATGAGACTCCTTCTCAAAACAAAAACAAAAACAGAAAACCAAAAAACCAAAAAACACACACACACAAAACCAGCCTAGTATACCCTCTCGTACATATGGTCCCAGGGCCCCTCCAGACCATCTCTCCATATGGGCTGATGTGGCTTTCCTTATGGTGGAGTGACCTAGGATACACAGACTGCGTCTGTGGCCACTGGGACTTCAGGAGTGTGTATCCCAGAGGACCAGCAGAAGTGGCATGGTGTTTCCCCACCTTTGACGGAGGGGGTCAAAGTTTCTCACCTTCTGAGGCAGGGGGAGTTTAACACAGCCGCAGAAAAAAGGGCATGTGGAAAGGGCTGGAAATGGTCTGTTTGGTCATCTCGGAGAAGCTCCGGGAAGCCGAGGTGTAAAGAAGCTGTAGGGACAGGCAGGCGATGAGGCTGGAGAGGATGGAGACTCCAATGCATGATGACCTTGCAAGCTGTGCCCTGGAGCCCAGCTCTATCCTGAGGTGAGCAGGAACATTTTGGTACTTCCTGGATCAGGAAGGTGCATTAATCAGGACCTCAGGCTACCCTGTGGGAGCAGTTGAGAAGGAGGTCATAATAGAAGTGGGAGCAGTGAAGAGATGCCAGCAACAGTCCTGTGAGGGATGATGGTGGGTGCAGATGGATGATGGACTGATAAATACCTGGAGGTATAATTGACAGGTTTGGGGCCTAACTGAATTGGGGGCAAGAGATTGGGAGCAGGTGGGATGGCAACCAGGACTATGGCTTGGACCACCAGGCAGTGTACAATTTCTCTACACCCTCGCCAACACTTGCTATTTTCCATTTTCTTTTTGATAGTAGCCATCCATTGGGTATAAGGTGGTATCTTATTGTGGTTTTGATTTACATTTCCCTAATGATTAGTGATGTGGAGCATTGGTCTAAAGGTTTCAATCAAGAGGTATCCGCCTTTTGGGAAACCAGCACATTGGACAGTGGAGATGTGGTAACTGTGTGTGGGTCAGAACAGATGGGGGCGCCCACTGAGATCAACTTGCCCTGTGCATGGAGATGTAGTAACTGTGTGTGAGTCAGGACAGATGGGGGGTGGGGGCACTGCGATCACCTTGCCCTGTGCAGGGGTCACTCCTCACACAAGTACATGAAGACTACAAGTGCAAGAAAGCAGCAACGAGGTCTCCACTTCTGTCAGCACTGGCTGGCAGTCTCTGCTAGAAGCCAACTGTTCGATTAACTATTGACTTGGCCTGCTGACTTTTTCAGGCTACATCAGTGAGGAGGAATGGGCTGGTAAAAGCACGGGAATGCCAAAGGAGACTGGTGACGTATATGGCCTTTGTAAATGGGAAAGAGGACCACACGAGCCAAAGGTTTCCAAATTCAGAGGAAAATAGAAGAATGATCACGAATGACAGGAAGGCAGGTGCTGACAATGTTCTCATGAAGGGGCCTAAGGGAGGGCTCTGAAGCTCAGGAAGGATGGCCACAAGCGGTGGGAGTTGGGGCTGGGACCCAGGAGCAGGACTGATGCCAGACAAGGACCCAGGGAAATGGCATCCATGTGACAGTGCCCAGAGCAAGCTGAGGCTCGAGAAAAATTCTGAGACAGTGCAAAGACTTAAAAACTAAACCACAGTTTGGCAAATGATGAGCACAAGAAGGTTAACTCCCTGTTTGGGGATAGTGGTTAGTGGAGCACCTTCATCCTCGGACATCTACTTGCGTAGGTCAGAGCCCCAGGCTTCACCCAGTTTAAAGTGTTACCCTAAAGTGTGGTGCGTTGACATGCTGAATACTTTGAACTGAAGAAGCAGCCCCAGAACCAAGGTCCCTCTGACCTTCTCTAGACCCTGTCCCACACCTCTTTGCCTCTCCCGAAGGGCAAGGAGGGGCTTTCTTGACTAAGGGAAGTTCCTCCAGAAGGAATGCAGTTGTCTTGGACTCCCTTCCCTAGCTTGTCAAACAGAGATGAACTTACAGGAAAGAAGGCTTGGAAAGACGACTGGAGTGGATACCACACCCGGGACCCAGGGGAACTTTGCTCTAGGCCATTGTCTGTTCTTTGGACCCATTTATCTTCCCTAAAAAATCATTTACTCTTCCTCAGAATTGCAACCCCCAACTCCCTCTCCTCTACAAAGAGGATATTTAAGTTTCAACCATCTGGTTCTTCTTAGAGTTGCACACTTCGTGCAACTCCCCTGGGCTTGCATGTTAATAAATTTGTAGGCCTTTTCTCTGGTTAATCTGTCTATTGTCAGTTTATCTCAGCAGATTCAATTATGGAACCTTCAGAGGGAAAGTTTGAACTTTCCTTCAAAGGGAAGTCTTTATTTCTAACAATGCCCCTCCTCCCTTCTGTGGAAGAGTAGCCTCCTGATAGAGCTTTGGGGCACACCTGGAGGAGGAGAGGAAGGTGTGGCAGCAGGAAGCAGGCCAGGTGGCTCTGCGCAGGGCTGGAGGCTGCACTGGGTGGCCCTCAAGGGCTGTCATACCTTTCCCCATTCACCGCTTCCACATGAAGAAAGTAGTGCCTCTGAGTTCTTCTTGCCCCAGGTCCTACCTCCACATAACCTTCCACAGGAGGGTGTTTCCCCTGAGCAGAACTCTGGGCCTGGCAGCTCCTGGCCAGTATGTGGGGCCCAGATGTGGAACTGTGCTCTGGAGTGGCATTTGTGAGACTGGTTTAACCAGAAACTCCCGGGAATTTGCACCTCTGCATTGACTCTTTCCCACACTTGGAGAATCTGATGAGGTGAATTGGAAATAGGGCTGGGATGAATAACAAGTGTTAACAAGTGCACAGATGATTCTGAGGCCCAGGCAGGCTGGAGCATTCTGCTAGAAGCCAGCAGCTAAGGGAGGAGCCCACCCATCCACCTGGTGGAAGGGAAGACCCCTCTGCTCAGGCGGCTCTGTGAGGTGACACTGAGGAAGCCTAAACAAGACTCTGGTGGTGACAAGCTCAGGGATGTGGCTCCGAGTTTGCTCCACTCACTTTGGACTTCACATCTGAATGATTTGGAAGACCTGTACAAACAGGTGTGTTCAACTTCATGGTGTATCTAGGCCAAAATGTTTCCTACATGCACAGAGTTCAGGTTTTGCCACAGAGCTCCCCTTTTGTATGCAAATGTTTTCCATCATGTGCCTATGGCCACTCCTTGTTGAGACCTTGCATCCTTGCCGGTGGCATACTGGAGCCCCAAAAGTAGCCTGGGGTCCCAAAAGATAGTTAGGTCCCTTCTGATACCTGAATCCATCCTTGTCTTAGGAAAGGGGTCATCAGCTTCCATTGTACATTTCCAGTGGCAGGGAGCTCAGTTATCCCTAGCAGTTGACGTAATGTCAAGACGATCCTAGTGGCTGGATGTCGTGGCTCACGCCTGTAATCCCAGCACTTAGGGTGGCCAATGTGGGTGGATCACTTGAGGTCAGGAGTTCGAGACCAGCCTGGCAACATGGCAAAACCTCGTCACTACTAAAAATACAAAAATTAGCCAGGTGCGGTAGTGCGCACTTGTAATCTCAACTACTCAGGAAGCTGAGGCAGGAGAATTGCTTGAATCCGGGAGGCAGAGGTAGCAGTGAGCTGAGATCGAGCCACTGCACTCCAGCCTGGGCAACAGAGTGAGACTCTGTCTCAAATAAAAAAAAAAAAAAAGATGATGCTCGTCCTCAGAGATGCCTTTCTCACATTGAGTGTCAATCATCTCCCTGCAACTCCCCCACCTAGATGTGCTGCTCTCTTCCTTTGCACAAGACATTGCTGTGGAGACATGAAGACATCCAGTGCACCTCCCCAAAATTTATACAGGCTAAGCAGAGACTGACAGCACTTAGAATTCAATGCACAAATGGATCAACCACCCAGGGAAGCTTGTGAAGATGGAGATAGGGATTCTGGACTTCTCACAAGCCCCTGGTGATGTGGAGGCTGCTGCTGCAGGGACCGCACTTACGAAGTACTGGTTGAGTATTAAAGAGTCCACCTAGAAGTAAGAGGGGCCCAAGACCCTGGCATGGCCCCTCACTTAGTGGCTCTGTGACCGTGGGCAGTTACATCCCATCTTGGCACCTTTGTTTCCTTTACAGTAAAATGAGGCTAATGAGGGCCTCTCTCAAGGGCTTGCTGGGAGGACCAAGTCCAGGCTCAAGCTCCCCACTCATGGGCCAGCGCATGGTACATGTTTGACAATGTGAGCCCTTGGTCATGTTTAGTTGAACAACCCGGGACCTTCAACTGTTTCCTGGAGGTGCTCCACCTCCATGTCCTCTCCCCAGGAGACATTTAGAGGGGTCATACTCATAGAAAAGGGCCAGGGTACTACACAGAAGATGCAGACAACATCTGTAATTTCCACAAACAACATGTTGTCATAAATCTCACCACTGTCCTACTAAACACAATGGCAGAAATAGTGGTTTTGCTGGGCAACCCCTGTGAGTGAAATATCAATTCAGAAGCTGAAAGACCTATCAACCAAGGTCTATCCTGTGAGGCTACACTGGTTCAGCTTTTGTGCTGATTAGAAATGCTGATGAACAGTTAGCTAAATTAATATGCTTTGATATAGCAAGACAAATCTATTAGTATTTAATCAATGTCATCTTTGATAGATTAAAGCTGGGGAAATTCTGAATTTTTTCATAAATTAATGGACAGCTTTGTGTTTCTTGACTTGGCTCAGGTGCCAACCCCTGAAGCCAGAGCAAGTTAGGTGTTCCTCAGAACAACCTATTAAATTACGTAACATGTGGGATTGTAATTATCTTTCTTCTCTGTTAGATTTTAACTCCTTGAGTGCAGAGACCAGATCTTATTGTCATGGTACCATCAGCGCCCATCAAAGTGCCTGGCACAGTGCAAATGTTTGTAAAAGGGAGGGAGGAAAGAAGAAAGGAAGAGAGAGAAGGAGAGAGGGAGGGAAACAAGGAAGGGAGAAAGAAGGAGGGCGTGAGGAAGGAAGAAGGCATACATGACCTCCCTCAGGAGCAAATGGAAAGAGGAAAACATCACTGGCTAGTGAGTTGGGCTTCACTGGATGGAGACTCTCTGCTTGTGTTCCCTGGAGGCATTCTGTGCTTCAGGAAGACAGGCCCAGTGCTGTAAGGGAGTGAGGCGTCCTTCTAGCTGACTTGCTGGGAGCAAGACTTTATGTGTTTAGTTCTACCCACAGCCTTGCCAATATTGGTTCTAAGGAAGAAGATCGCTTCCCCAAAATAAGTTCCCCAAAGTAATATTTTCTCCTGTGGGGACATAGTTACTATAACCGTGGTTCTTATTGAACAGATGGACTCTTCCTTCGTTAGACAATTCTTTTCCTTGGACCCTGAGAATTGCAAAATGAGATATTCCTTCTCATGTTTTAGTGAGATGAAAACAAAGTGGAGAGGATGCTTGAGGTGATTTGGAGGCAGGCCAAAATGCAGCTTTGTTCTTGTCGCTTGCACCCAGTGAGCGACTCATGGGAACCAGATTTTGGGATAGTGATCTGCTTGCACTCCTGGCTGGTTGCGTGGCTGGCAACAGGTGTGGCCAAATTGAATGGCATTGGTTGGGAGGAAAGGAGGGGGCGTTGTGTGGTATTTTCACAATGAAAATCAGGTGTGGCTGCACTTGTTGGGAAAACAAAAAGGTATAAAATCTTGAATCCAAATCAAAGCCCCTGTATTTGTGTGAGTCTGGGACTTGGTTTACTGAATGCCTCCCCATCCTCCCAGTGTGGAAATGGCGCCTTTGCCAACAGGACAAGGACAATGCATCTTGCATGGTCCCCTGGGCCCTGGGCAGCATAGTCCTGGCAGCTGCTGAGGTTTCTAAACAAAGAGGGAGGCACGTTTTGCCCCTGTGTTTCCAGTAGAACAAGAATTAAGAGGCTTCTGTAGAAGCCGTGGCATGGAAACCTATCAATACCCTGGGTGCTGGTTTCCTTCCTAGCCGGCTGCCTGCAAGAGGGCACCTGTTCTGAAGATCGAGCAGGGTCCCCTCCCCAACCATGGAAATACAGGAAAATCTTGGTTTCCTTCAAGGGAAATTCCAGGCACTTAGCTAGCCCTAAGAAGCCAATGAACAACTTGATAAGCAGGAAGGTAATAATAACCTAAAACAACAGCGAAGGAAGCCAGAGTCCTGGGGTGTTTTGTTCCCTCTGGAAATTAAAAAGAACATCTCAACTTCTGACTCCGAGTTGTTTTTCAGAAACCCAGACCCCCACCAAACGGATCCACTGGCACAGAGACCTCAGAGAAGAGGGAGCTGAGGACTGAACTCTGAGCACGGCTCTTTGTTCTATATTTCTTCCTGGGGGGCCTGGGGGAAGTCCCACCCACAAGCCAGAGCTAACATTCCTTTCTGCTAACCCAAATTTTAAAACAAAGCTTCTCTTCCTTAACCAATTGCAATTCAGAAAATGTTTGACTCCACCCTATGACCCGTAAGTCCCTGGTTCAAGATATCCTGCCTTTTTAGGCCGAACCAATGTGTACCCTCCATGTGTTGATTTACAATTTCACCTGTAACTTTGGCTTTCCTGAACATTTCCCTTGCCATTAAAAATCCATGCTTGCAAGCCACGGGGGAGGTTGGGTTTTAAGCGTGAGCTGCCTGATTCCCCTTGCTTGGTGCCCTGCAAATAAACACCCTCCTTTCTCCCACTGCAAACCTCAGTGTGGATTTTGGCTTTACTGTGCTGGGCCAGTGGATCCGTTTCATTAGGTAAAACTCTCAAACTCTTCAGTTAATCCCAACACTTCCCTCCAAATCCCCAAAGGTCAGGAACTGATGGGGGGTGAGGGTGTGAACACACTTTCTTTTTGAGTGGAGGGCACAGGTACTGGTTACTAAATCAGGGCAGTCAGGACCCACTGGAGGGCCTGGCCCTGAGAAGGCATGGACAGGTGTTGAAGGGACAAGGTGGGACGCCAGACTCAGACTGTGGTAGACAGGGAGGTGGCTCTGTCAGCCCTGACCCCTACTGCCCACAGAAGGAAGACAGGAGTCCAGGAAGAGAACCGTATCTGCAAACTTGTTTCACTTTTTAAAAAGTGGGCCTTTTCTTGATCAGAAAATAGCTTTCAGAGGCAAGTTTCTCCCTGTGAAGGAAACCCATTCTGTGCAAATGATCATTTCTGCAAAATTGCCCTGGGCTGGTCCTTAGCCAGTCTGCCTGAGTTGACCTGAATGCCTGCTGAGTCTGAGCTGGGGGCCTTAGGGGTTTGCTCATCAAGGAGCTTACAAGTGAGTGGGTGGGTGTGGGTACAGAGGGACACTTGGGACCAGGCGGTGCCCTTGCCACACCCACCTAATTTGCAGGGCGAGGGAAGAGCAGGGTGGGCCAGGAGAGGGAGGAAGGGAGGGAGGGAGAAGGGCTGGAGTAGAGTGCGCCTGGGAACTGGCACGGAGGGGACCGGGCCAAGCAAGCAGTGCCCCTCCATCAGAGGAGAGCCAGGGAGCCCTTTGGGTGAGGTCGTCTTGGGATCCCTACTGCCTTCTGGACTTTATGGATCTAAAAAGGCTAAGTATGTGTTGATGATCGTGTGTGTGTGTGTGTGTGTGTGTGTGTGTGTGTGTGTTGCTTGTTTTGGGGGAGGGGGAAGTAAGCTCCTCTGGGTTCATCTGGGGGTGGGGGACAGCCTGCAGTAACTCAAGAAATGCCTTCTGTGGCAAAGTCCTCTAGGTCATCAGTGGAGATGATGCCCAGGCCTGGAGCTTCTACACCCTCCTCTCCTGGGCTCTGGGGAGGACCATGAGGGCGCTGGCCTGCAGAGTGCGGGGTGCAGTCACCGTGAGGCCCTGGGTCCAGCTGTAGTCCAGACTCGTGGACACTCTGGGTCCTGGCGCGGGCCGCGGAGGCACGAGGGCCCTGCCTGAGGAAGGTGGGCGCGGAGAGCTGAGAGGAGCAGCGCAGCGGCATCAAGGCCGTCACGGGCACTGGCTGGAAGCCGGGGTACAGCACATAGGGAGCGGCCAGGGCGTCCGGTGGGGGCGGCTCTGGGGAGGCCCCCTCGGAGGACGGGATGGAGACCTTGACATACTTGCCCGTCTCTGGGTCATAGAAGGTCTTGATTTTCACCTGGAGTGGCAAGTCGAAGACAAAGTACTCCCCGGACTGCGGATCCTGGAGGACCTTCTGGGTGGCGGGGTACGCGGGCAGGGGTGTGAGGGACTGGGGGCCCCCGGGCCGCCTCCCGACAGGCTCCGAGAAGCCGGACACGGAGTGGCGGTGCACGGGAGGGGGCAGGGAACGGACCACGGGGAAATTGTGTCGGGGCCTCTCTCTGGGGCACAGCGGCCTTTGCTGTGTCTGCTCCAAGTCCTCCGGGCAGGGCTTTCCCTCCTGTGACTCGCCATGCTTCTCCTGAGCCTGATCCGTCTTCCTCCTCTTACTTGCCAGCTTCTTTGCCCGCCGCAGGGCTTTCTCTGTTTTGGGTGGGACTGCAGGTGGCTTGCTTGCTGTCCTCTCTAGCTGTGCAGGAAGCTCAAGTCTCCCAGAGGTGCCTGCTGGGCTGGTGGCCACATCCAGCAATGAACCTCTTGGAGAGAGGGTCCGGAGGTCTTCTGCCGACAGCTCAAGTAGGGGGTCAGAGCCGCCCTCCCACACGAGGGCGTGGGTCAGGTCCTCCCTCCGGGTGACCCTGGCAGGACTGGAGCTGGCCCAGGGGCTGGCTTGATTAGGCTCCTCGGGAAGCAGCTCTGGTCCTCCAGGGGCCTGGGAAGACTCCTCCCAAATGTTGCTGGCAGCAGGGGAGCAGGCACTGCTCTCCCCGGGGGAGCCGGGGTTGGGGGAATTCGCCCTCTCACTGGGGACCAGTCTTCTGCCAGGGGGCCCTGCTCTGGGTGTGGACAAAAAGTGACTCTTGAAACCTGGTGTTTGCTCTTCCCAACAGTTTTCGGGCTGCCATGGGGGTGGCTGGTCTTCTATGTCACCCTCGGGTAAAGCAATGGTGGGGATGTGCCATGGGGCTGCCAGCTTCCCTGAGTCTGCAGAACCGCTCTTGCAATTGCTTGCCACGAGGCCAGGTGCAGCATCTGGTGGTGCCTTCACCCGGTCCCCCTCTCCCACCAGAGGCATAGATGGGAAATTCCCCTTTGGGGCTGGCTGAGAGGCCTCCATCCTGGCCATGCTCGACCCCTGCCCAGGGTCCTCCATGACCTCGTTGGCCATGCACTTCACACGTGTGCCCCGTGTGTTAGTGGGTGTCGATGTACCAAGAATGTCCTGGTTTTCGGGGGCACAAAACCCAGGATCCTCACCCCATTCTGGCCTTGGCAATTCCTCCTCTTTGTGGCCACTGCTGAGGGAGTCCTCCAAGGACATGGTCCTCAGGAGAGGCAGCATGATAGGTTTAATTACGGGGGTAGCTCTGAGGGTGTTGTCTTTAATCGTAAACAGCATGTGCCTGTTTGAAGCAGAAGATGGTGAGGGAGTAAGGTCTTTGGCCTGTGAAAAGGTTGTGCCCTTATTTTCCCCAATCCAAGAGCCTCTGAAATTAGCTTCCTCTGCTGATGCCTTCCTGGTTCTTCCTCCAGACACACTTTCCCTTTCTCTTTGCAATGCTTCCCCCTGGCTGCGGTTTTCCAGGCATGCGTGCCCATTGCTTAAGGCACAGTACTGCAGCTCATCCTTCCGCATCACATTCTCCTTCTCATCCTTCTGACTGTCACCTGCACTCACATCCTTCCTCCTGTCTTCCCGCTGGTTCTCAGTAAACCACATCTTCTGCTGATCATCAAATGAGGCAAAGGATTGATCTGAAGAGCTGGTGCTGAATTTGGCCTTACCTTTGAGGCTTGGCATAAAATCGGATTGGCTGTCACTGTAAAACACATCTTCCTCCTCAGGAGAGAGGGGCCCTGGGAAGAATTTCTGGTTCAAATGTGTGTTCTGAAGTCCTGCTTCCCTCTCAGGTTCTGTCTCTTGGGACACAGATCTGGAGAGCCCATTCTCTAGCTGGTGGGTCTTCATTTTCTCTGTAGCCCCTCCAGGCTCAGGATCCCTATTGCAAAGCCTCAGGGAGAGGTGTTTCCTGGGGCGGTGTTCCCTGGAGTCTGGACACCAGCTGGATCCGGCAGGACCCATCTCCAACTCTCCTTCCACCTCCTTGTTCTCATAACTGCTTCTCTCAGCAGCCTCCCCATTGACATAGAAGGGGGCTTTGGCGATAGTCGGAGCTGTGCTAAGAGTTAGATAGCTGTCTGCAGAGGGCTCACTGGGGTCAGCTGTAGGGTCCTTCTGGGGATTGATGTGTGATGCAGTGGGGTCATCAGCGGGTCTCTCCTTAGAAAGCTCATTTGGAGGGCTTTCCTCAAGCCCATTGGGGAGGATGACACCGTTGCTCACAGGTTCTTGCTTTCCATCAACCTTACCTCTAGTTTTCTCATCAAGCACTTTCAAGAGAGGTGAGGAACTGTATGTGCTCTTAACACGCTTCCGCACGTCCTTGAGGTTGAACAGCAGGCTAGGGGCTTTGGACTTGTAGCTGTCTCGAGACTGACATTCACTGGGCTCCTTCTCTTGGTATCCGTTTAGCTGTCCTGGGGGTGATGGGGTTCGCTCTGCTGGCTGGCTGTCTGCTGAATCCAGGGCGTGCTTGCTGGGTATGATGGGGGTCAGGAGCTTACTGATGTTAAAGGGGGGATCATAATGTTCATTGGGTTCCACAGGCAGGTCAAGAGCATTGTTTTCTGAAAACTGTTCCTGGGGGTTGTGTTTTGTATACAAAGGTGGGCCTCTCTGGTTGGTCTGTGTCTTTTCTTCTAAAGTATCTTGTAGACTTTCTTTCCCTTTTTTGCCAGTCTTTGGCTTCCTCCATGGGGGCTGGGCTGGCTTCTCTTGAGAATCAGGTTGTGAGCTGGGAGCTTTTCCTTCCACAGCAAATACCTGGGCTCCTGGATCCCTGCACCCCCAGGGTATAGATGTGGACAGAGCCCCTGCTGCAAGTCTGTTCTCTTCCTGACTGCAGCTGGCCTGGACCTGGCAGGGAGAGACTGTGCGCTCAGGAGGACAGGGTTCTCTTAGCAAGGTCGTGTCCCCATAGTGCTTGGGAGCTTTGCTTTCTGGGACGGTTCCAGCTGTGTCCTTTCTCTCCAGCAGCTTTGGTTGGTGGGCATTCCATGACTCAAAAGCACTATTTTCACTGTGCAGAAAGGTACCTTTGCCTCTCCCAGGCTCACCCGTGACTGGCTTGTGGTGTGGAGAGGGGAACTTTGACTCACATAAGGTGGCCGTGTCATTGGCTGCTGGGAGGAAGCTGCTGGAGCCGTGACAGGCCATTTCTGGATTCTTGGAGGACTCCTGTTCTCCGTGCTTCCTGCCTGGCTGGTAGCTGTTCTGATGGGTGTTGGAAACTTCAGCGGGCACCCTCCTGACTGTCAGAAAGGCAGAATCGAAGCAGAAGTTGACACTGTTTTCTGGAAGAGGAGCGAATTTGGGAGGATTTTTCAGAGCCGGAGGCTTGCTGGCAGTGGGCCTGCTCTCACAACGTTGGCTCTCGGTCCTGTCGAAAGATTTAATTAGTGTTGATACTTTGGAGACAGGCTTATTGCTGCTCCTTAGGCCGGAAACTGGCACCTCCAGTCTCCTCTGGACTGGCGTTGGTGGGGGGCTGGTTTTGGGGTACTTTTCCTCTCCCTGAACGTACTTGGGTAGCTGTTGGAAGGTGGCCGCCCAGCCCGAATGTTCCGTGCCCTGTGACGGTAACTGGCTCCAAATGCCACTTTTCCTCTGGGTGTGGCCCACTGTTCTCTGGTGAAAAGTCCCAAACACCTGTCGGGTGATATCCGGGGACACAGCCAGATAGGAGTCATGGAAGGATGTGTCCTCGGAGATGCACAAACTCCGGAATGCCCGGTCTGTTAGGCTGCTCACCTCCCTGTCTGCATCATCCAACACGCTGCCGATGCTGGAGGAGTCGCTGAACGCGTCTGTGCACTTCTTATTTCCTTGCATCATCTGTTGGCTCCAAGAAAGCTGTCCTTGTCAGCCGGCAGGTGTCTCTGGTGATGATTCTGTCAAGGTTAGGTGTTTCCCTCTTCCCCAAAACTAGAGCCTCTCATTGACCAGATGCAATTGCAAAGTGGGGATTTTTTTTTTTCTCTGCAAAAGAAAAAGGTGCAGGGCGTGAACAAAGTATACAGCTCTACACAAGAATATGTGCTGGTTCAGGTGGAAAATGGTGCCTGTGAGGGTTAATTTTATGTGTCAAACTTGGCAAGCTTGCTATATGTATAGACTGTAGACCGGTCTAGCTGTTTCTGTGAAGGTATTTTTTAGATGTGATTAACACTAAAATCAGTAGACTTTAAGTAAAGCAGTTTATCTTCTATAAGGCAGGTGGCCCTCATTTAATTAGTTGAAGGCCCTAAGAGTAAAAAGACTGAGTTCGCAAGCAACACAAACAAAAATAGACAAGTGGGATTACATCAATTCAAAAGCTTCTGCACAGCAAGGGAAACAATCACAAAAATGAAAAGGTATTCTATGGAATGGAAGAAAATGTTTTCAAACTGTGTATCTGATAAAGGGTTAATATTCCAAAATACATGAGAAACTCCTACAACCGAATAACAAACAAAACAAAATGAAACAAAACCCCAAACCCGCTGATTTAAAAATGGGTAGAGAAACTGAACAGATATTTCTCCAAAGAAGACATAGAAATGGCAAACAGGTATATAAAAAGGGGCTCACCATCACTAACCATCAGGGAAATGCAGATCAAAGCCACAATGACATATCACATCATGCCTGTTAGGATGGCTATTATCAAAGAAAGAAAAGATGACAAGTGTTGGTAAGGATGTGGAGAAAAGGGGACCCCTGTACACTGTTGGTGGAAATGTAAATTGATGTAGTCACTTTGGAAAACAGTATAAAGATTCTTCAAAAAATTAAGACTAGAACTACTATATGATCCAACATTCCCATATCTGGGTACAGGCCCAAAGGAAATGAAATTAGGATATTAAAGTATCTGCACCCACCTGTTCATTACTCACAGTGGCCAAGACAGAGAAGTGAACAAAATTTCCATTGATGGATGAATGGATAAAGAAAATGTGGTATATGCATACAATGGAATTATTCAACCTTAAAGAAGCAGGAAATTTTTAAATTTATGATAACATGGGTGAAATTGGAGGACATTTTGTTAAGAGAAACAACCCAGTCGCAGAAAGACAAACACTGATTGATGTCACTTACTTGAGGAAGCTTAGACAGTCAAACTCATAGAAGCAGAGTAGAGTGGGGGTTGTCAGAGGCTGGGAAGCAGGGAAGGGGGGAGTTATTTGTCAAAGGAAGTAACGTTTCAGTTATGCAGGATGAATTAGTTCTGGAGATCTGATGTACAGCAGGTGTCTGTAGTTAACAATACTGTGTTATGTGCTTGAAATTTGCTGAGGATAGATATTATGTTAAATGCTCTTATCACACATACACAAATAATAAATAAAAGCGGTGGGAGGAAATGTTTGGAGGTGATGGATAGTTTTATGCATGGATTGTGGTGATGGCTTCATGGGGTGCATACTTATCTCCAAGTTCATCAAACTGTACACATTAAATATGTGTGGCTTTTTGTATGCCAATCATACCTCAATAAAATGGCTTAAAAAAAGACAGTCCCTTGAGGAAGAGGAACTTCCGCCTTTGGATCATCTTTGGATTGGAGCTGTGTCATCAACTCTTCCTGGGTCTCCAGCTATTCCCATTTTGGACTTGCCAGCCTTCACAATCACTCCAGCCAGTTCCTTAAAATAAATCACTCCCTCTCTATAGCCACATATCCTATTGGTTCTGATCTTCTGCAGAATCAGACCCATACAGTGCCTGAAGTTCAGTGGTGTTTTTGCAGAGTCCTTCCCTGATATTCCATGGGTGTTCCCTCCTTGCTCATCTCTCTCACTGTGCATGGTTTATTTTCTTCATGGTACCAAGCATGATCGAAGATTAAGTTTACATCTTTGTGGCCTATCCCATGATTAGACTGTCAGTGCCAGGCATATGGGGACTGCTGGGTTGTCTGTTCGCTGATTGCCCCTCATCCCAGAACCACCCTAAGAGGATATGCTCCCCAGAGTCTGCATCACCTGGGCCCCTTACCTCTGGGACCAGCCTGTGGGGGTGGCCAGTAGAGGTGCTGGCAGGAGCCTGGTGGGAGGGGGAGCCAGTGTCCCTGGCATTTCTCCACTCCTCCTGCCTTGTGACATGGGGACCACAATCCTCTATAGCTATGGCCCCTCCCCCAGTCTCTGACTGGGCTCCAGCAACATGCCCCTTGTGCCCAACTCTACATCCCTGGGGACTCCCTAATTCTCTGTTACCTCTGTTATAGCCCTTTCCTTTTTTAAGTGGCAAAATACACATAATATAAACATTTCATTTGAATTAATTTTAAGATACAACTCAGTAGTGTTAAATATATTCGTATGTTCATGCAATCAATCTCCAGGACTCTTTCATCTTTCAAAACTGAAACTCTTTACCCATTAAGCAACAACTTACCATTTCCCCTCCCCCCTGGAAGCCACCATTTGACTTTTTGTCTTTATGAATTTGATGACTCCAGGAAGCTCATAAAAGTGCAATCATACAGTATTTATCTTTCTGTGACTGGCTTATTTCTCTAGCATAATGTCCTTGAGGTTTATCTGTGTTGTAGCATGTGCCAGAATTTCATTTTCAAGGCTGAATAATATTCCACTATATATGTGTGTGTGTGTGTGATATACATATACATATACACCCACATATATGTATGTGTATATATATATATATATATATATATATATATATATATATATATATATATATAGCTTGTGTGTGTGTACATATATATACACCACGTTTTGCTTATCCATTCCTCCATTGATGAACACTTGGGTTGTTTCCAAATTTTGGCTATTGTGAAAAATGTTGCCACAAATGTAGGTGTGCAAATATCTCTCAAAGACCCTGCTTTCAATTCTTTTGGGTATAACCCCAGAAGTGGAATTGCTGGATTATATGGTTGTTCTATTTTTAAATTTTTAAGGAACTTCTAGACTGTTTTCCATAGTGGCTGTACCAATTTTCATTTCAACCAAGATTGTGCAAGTGTTCCAGTTTCTCCACATCCTTGCAACACTTGTTATTTTCTGCTTTTTTTTTTTCTTTTTGAAAGTACCCATCCTGGTGGGTGCATGGTGCTACATAACATTCTCTTGTGGATCCTGTCTGAGGATGCTGCTTCCTTCTGGAATACTTACGGCTTCCCCTGGCACACATACCTCCCATTGCCTAGAACATTGCCTGGCCTGGGGGAGGGGATAAGAGAATGGGTACATAAAAAGTTACATAAAATAGCAAGTATTGACCCCAGAGTGGATGCAAGTGAGGGGTGTCTGGAAGAGTGGACATCTGGCAGGGTGCTGTTAAGTGTTCAGCTGGCAGATCAAACACTGCCAGAGAACTCCCATTCACAGCAGCAGAGCTGAGCAGGCTATGCTCTCCCCTCCTTGCTTGGCTGGCCTTAGTCACTGCCAGAGCTCCAGGGGATGGATGGTGAAGGCACTCCCATCAGGGAGGCCTGGCCACATGTCAGAAGCCCCAGATCCTGCCTGGCTCCACATCCCCTTGCTGAGTGACCATGGGCTGGCCACAAGCAGCCTCAGTGCATCTCTCTCATCTGTATCTGTGCTGTGAGATTGCAACCATTCTTTGTTTCTGTAGAGTGGGGATCATGTGTCCTCACTGCAAGGTTCCAGGAGGTTAGGGGTAGCATCCTGGCATAGGCTCAAAGCTGCTGGGCTGTCAGTAATGTTTGTCTTTAATCCTGGAGGCCAGGCTTCATTGGGGTCTGTTGTTTCCGTCCCTTGACCACAACACTCTGGTGAGTTAGCAAAGCTGATTCATTGGCAGACTGACTGGTTTCTGTGAAAGACAGAACTAAGCTGGAGAAAGGATGGGACCTGAGTTCTAGTGGACTGAATGAGCTGACGAGTAGCTACTGACCTGCTCTGGGAAGGCCTCTCTGCACATGCTCCTCAGCCCTACCTTGAAAGGCAGGCTGCTGGCTCCCTGGAAAGTACACACTCATGACAGCATATGCTTTTTAGAAGGCTGCATACAAGGGGAGAGCATCAGCCCACGTGATGGGTTGGGGAGACCCTGAGGGCTGGCTAAGCCCACGCCTTCCCCAGTAGAAGACACATGCTCCGGTCTTCAGACTCCCATGCAGCTAGCATGGCCAGAGGACATGGCTGTGGTCACAGGGATGGAAGCAGCCAGCAGTCTGTGAAAGTTCCTGCCTTTCTAATCAAAGGAGCAATTTCTGTTGTCTCCGCTGTGTCAGTGCTCTTCTTCCTGCCTTGAATGCAGACAAGAAGCCAGAAACTGCTTGATTTCTTTGCTGGGGCTGCCGTAACAAATGATGGCTCAAACATTGAAAATGTATTGCCGCACAGTTCTGGAGGCTAGAAGTCCAAAATCGAGGTGTCACAAGGTTGGTTCCTTATGAGGGCTGTAAGGAAGAATCGATCCTAGCCTTTCTCATTGGCTTGAGGACACCCGTCTTCTCCCTGTGTCTTCACATCATCTTCCCTCTATGCTTGTCTCTCTGTCCACATTTTTCCTTTTTAAAACCTTTTAAAATTTTCCAATTATTAAAAAAAAATTTTTCATTCTGTCACCCAGGCTGGAGTGTAGTGGCGTAATCATAGCTTACTGCAGCCTCAATCTTTTGGACTCAAGTGATCTTCCCACCTTGGCCTACCAAGTAGCTGGGATTACAGGTGCATTACACCATACCTGGCTAATTTTTCTATTTTTTGTATAAATGGAGTTTCACCATGTTGTTCTGGCTTGTCTTGAACTCCCAGGCTCAAGTAATCTGTCCACCTTTGCCTCCCAAAGTGTTGGGATTATAGTCATAAGCCACTGCGCTCTGCCCAAATTTTCCCTTTTCATAAGGACACCAGTCATACTGGATTAGGGCCCACCTTAATAACCTCGTCTTTAAGTACAATACGTCTGTAACAGCCTTATTTCCAAAAGGTCATACTCTGAGGTAATGAGAGTTACGATTTTTTTTAGAGGGTGCATGATTCAACCATAATATTGAATTCACTTTGCAGCCCTGAGAGACAAGCAATGGCCACTGAAGGCCAATCTGCAGAGGATGGCAGTGTGGACAGGTGAGGAGCCCAGGTCCTGGCCAGCACTGCTAAGCCATGAGCCCACGGCAGCACCATCCCACTTGAATTTATGTTATTGAGGCTGGTGTGGGGTTTGATGGAACCTGAGTGGCTTTGACCACTATGAGTCAGGTTTTCTGTATCCTGAGATCCTGTCAAAATGGTGAGGAGTCTCCTGATGTCCTAAATGCTGGGATTCCGATCTTGGCAATGGCTGAACTCAGTAATATTGGGGGTTTCTACACTTTGAATGAAAATAAGATAGTTTTCATTAAGATGAAAATCGGTTAGTTGGAGACCTAAATTTAGAAGCTTAGATAGAGTCAACCAAGCAGTCTCTACCCAATTAAACACACCCTCGTATTAGTAGGTATTCACTATTTGTTTTTTGAATACTCAGCTTGCATCTTCTGAGAAAAAGCACTTGATACCTTGTGGGAAATTTCCTCTCCCCTTGGTTTTCAGTCTTGGTGGGGCTGAAAGTCAAGGTGCCTGCAGAGGCTCCCGAGGGCCAAGAGCAGGTGTGAGACCGAGGACAGGCCCATGGACTGTAGCAATTCTCCTGGAGCTACACAAGGACGGAAGTGTGCTCAGGCTTCCTTGCTGGTGGTGGAGCTTTCACTACGCTCTGGGACATGCCTGGCCCCTGACATTTCCTGGCCTGGAACTTTAGCTGTCACCTTGAGGCTACAAGACCTCCATTTTTCTTTTAATACATATGAATTTCTGCCTCATTTGTTGAGTTTCTGCTTCTGTTGCTTGTGGCTGAAGAACCCTACCTGATCCTGGGTTTATATCCTCATTCTAAACAGTGGTGAAGGATGTTCATTGATCTTCAGAGCATTCAGAAAATAACCACATTACTTCTGCCTCAGGAAAAAGAGAGACTCCCTCCCCATGTTGCTAGCTTTATTCAGATAATTTCTTCAGTTCTGATTTGATATACCTGGGGTCAGATGGAAAGTCAGAGACTTGACCTCATTCTCCCCCCACCCCCAGCCCCCATGGTACCTTTCAGCATAATGGCCAAAAACAGAAGGTGTTTCTAGATGCCTACTCTTAGATTAGTTCCATACCTGTTACAGCACTGGAAGCTGCAGGTGCCTGCCGTGCTGGGTTTCAGGATCTGTAGTTTTAAAACGTCTTTTTATGCTTATATTTGGTGTCATCACTGCCCATCTGGAAAGAAGAAAAATAATTTCAGTGGAACCCAACTGACCAAAGGGCCAAGCGCAAGTTCATTGGAAAAAGTATCTTTTATATTTTTTGAGACAGGGTCTTGCTCTATTGCCCAGGTTGGAGCGCAGTGGTGTGATCTTGGCCCATTGCAACATCTGCCTCCTGGGTTCAAGCAATTCTCCTTCCTCAGCCACCCAAGTAGCTGGGATTACAGGTGTGCACCACTATGCCCAGCTAAGTTTTGTATTTTTGGTAGTAATGGGGTTTCACCATATTGGCCAGGCTGGTCTCGAACTCCTGACCTCAAGTGATCTGCCTGCCTTGGCCTCCCAAAGTTCTGGGATTACAGGGGTGAACCGTCATGCCTGACCCAAAGTATCTTTAAATGTCAGTTATACAACGATGTAGTTGGCCTTCAAAAATGAAAAACAATCCATACTTGAGCTCAACAAAGTTCCAAAAATAGGCATATTTGACCATAAGGTCAATTTATATCCCTTCTAATATGCATTAATTTGTCCATGGCCCAAGACATTTTTAGAAACCTCTTTTAAGCCTTTCAGTTTTCTAATATGATTGACCCAGTTGTGAATTATTTTTTTGCAAATAAAATCTGACTCAAGGCCCTTTTCCCACTGAACTGGGTTTTGCAGCAAAGAGAACTGGAGCAGTGAAAGTCAAGTCCACTCAGCAAGTGGCAGCACAGTGTTAGATTCATTGTTGGCAGGAGGCTTGAGTCTTCTGACAGCTAAAAGAACCAAAAAGCTGCCCAGGAGGATATTCAGAATGCTCAGAATGAATAGTGAACTAATTAAAATAAATCCACTCTGCACATTTTAAATGCAAACCTTTGGGGTTTCCATAAGACCTTTCCCAGCTTGTAGCTCCTGGATATTAATCTAGTTCAAGGTAGTTTATTAATAATATTAATAATCATAATTGCTTGAATTGGTGGTGTCTATTTCTTTGGAGAATCACAGAGGTGCTCTGTGTCTACCACCATACGGCGAGGCCCCATCCCTGACTCCCCAGGCTGGCTTAGATGGGCCTCCTTCGTGTTCCCAAAGCATACTGGGTTTACCTTTTCCATAGCTCAGCTCTGTTGTCACTTCATACATCGTGACCCATATGTTTCAGGAACTGATGATCGCTGCTTTCCCTCCTCACTAGAAAGGAAGTTCCTTGAACCAAGGAAGGGAGTCTTGTATACTGAACTCAATAAATGGAAGCTCAGTCACTGTTTGTGGTAATGCTCTGAATTGGGTTATCTTTATTCTGATTTTTTTCCTGGAGGGCAAACTGAGGCACAGAAAAGAAGGGAAAAGATAATAGGAATTTTGTTGAGAAAGACTCCTGGCCTTGGGTCTTATGGCCTTCCAAAAAATTCAGATCAGCCCATTTGCATCTCTAAATAATAAGGCCACTCCCCTGCCCACAGCTCCACTGAGATCTGACTTAGGGATGAGGATGAAACCCATCTGGTGCCACACATGGATGAGACGGAGGTGCAGAACGACATAATGGCATTTATTTTGTGAATGGTTAGGGCACCCCTCACCCTGTGCTTGGGCTTTCCCCCTAGGCAGTTGCCTCATGGACTCACTGACATTGCTGCTGGCATGAATTTTCCAGATGCCAGTGAAAAAACTCTCTTGCTTACCACTTTGAACCATTTGAAGGAAGCCACTCTGAACTGGTGAAAATTCTTGCTCATAGAGCACTTTGCCAGTGAAAAGGTGTGTTCCCTTCAGGCAGCATGAAGGAGGATACAGTGCACATGGCAGGGCCATGTTTTAAACAAGATCTTGGAACCTGGTCATGAATGCATAGAAATAAACATCGATATTTAATTATGACCTGGTCAGTTCCTATTTAAGTCTGTGGCCTTCAAAGACTGTTCTCTTAAATGCTTCATATCTCCCCTCTACCTCCATTATTTCTTTACCCATTTCACTCGGCCTTTAATGTCTGGCCCCCACTCCTTCCTGATGGATGTTCTGATGGCATTTTTGCTCCTCATCTGACTGAACTTCTAGGCTGCAATCTAGACTCGTGGCCATTGTCTACTTAAGATACTCTTTCACTTTGACCTTTCCTTCTCCCCTCCCTGTCTGGATGTTTAGTCTCTTCCTCTCCTTGACTGCTGGATTTCCTCTGCTCCCAGCCCTGGAGCCTCTTCTCTTCTCACTCTACAGTCACCACGCAGGCGATTGTCCCCACACCATGGTCCCCGCAAACATCCACGCACTGAGGCAGCGTCCAGGCCAGGCCATTTGCCTGGCTGCAGTCCACGCCTCCGCCCACCCACCAGGCAACTCGGTGCCCCTGTCTCACAGCCCTTCCAACCCACATGTTTAAAGCAGAGTCCATGAGCCTTCTGCAAGCCAGCTTTCTCCCTGGGGACCTCAGAAACCTGACGTCACCTTCGACTTCCTCCTCCTCCTCCTCCCAGTGCCTTTCCCTTTGACATCCATTTCCTAGTTCCCATGAGTTTCATCTCTGAAGGTCTCTTCCTTACACACCAGTCTCCATCTCCACGGTCATTGTGTGGACCAAGCTGCTCTCTCAAATCCTTGGGCCACTGCAGCAGCCCATTCCTGCCCTGCACCAAGAGGCTGCTTTCAACACTCAAACTTGTTCATATCAACATTTTGCTTAGAATCTCTCGATGGCTTTCCAGTTTTAAGGAATGAAGATCAATCTCCTTAACACAGATCCTCTCTTTCCAAACACACCTTGCTCCATCTTTCCCCTCATGCTTGGCTTTCCAACCAACCTGGTCCTTGTCCAGCTTCATGCCACCCTACTTCCTGCCTCAGGGCCTCTGCTCATGGTGTTCCCTCTGCCTGGACTTTTTTACTTCCATCCTTTCATCATTACTGGGTTAACTCCAACATGTGCTTCAGAGCCCAGTTCACATGTCCCTTTGATGATGCAGCTTCTTCAGGCTATTCCAAGGCTGCCCGTTACATCCCTTTATCATGGGCTATACCCATCATTTTGCAGCACTTACCATAATTATAATTAAGCATTTAACTGGGTGATTTGTTGTTAAATGTTTGTCCCTCCTGCTAGCCTGAGTGTTTATTGGTGGCGGGGTCCATGTCTGTTTCTTTTTCATGCAGCATAGTGCACAGTGCAAGCAATATCTGTTAAATAAATGAGAAAACCCTTCCACCTGTCATGATATTACTCACACTTTTGACAGGCTTAGCAGAACTTATTTTATTGACAGTCAATTATAATCCTATAATCACAGAATTATCACAAATTTCAAATTAGTGAATTTGAATCCAAGTGGATTTTATTTACTTTTTGATTCAAAACCCCTCAAATATGTAAAATTCCCCCCATGGTAAGAGATGGAAGCAGGTGGACGGGATTGTTCTTAGAGACTGTTGACAAGCTGGCTCCAGGGAAGGTGTCCCTCAGCAGCGTGGCATGTACTGTGTATGTCTGGATTGCGTTTCTGTCAGGGGGAGATGAAAAGAGACTTCATCGTGACTTCACCATTTCCCAGTTGGTCTCTCACACTGCTCTCAGTGCTCTAAGTTGGGGAGTGGCTTTGATGCCTTCTGGAGGGCCAGCGTCCAGCAAACTTTTGTTGAGTACATTACCTGGGGCTCTGTTTACAGCCACAGTGTGAATGGTCATTAAGTGATGCGTTATCTAAATTATAGGGTCAGTGGATGAAATGCTGGCTTTGCCCTCTGCCTCCAGGCAATTGTGCAGGACTCAACAGCGCCATGTTCTGCAGACCTCCAGCACTTCCTCCACTGACCCAGGCCAAACTTGCATCAGATGGAGAAGGTTCTGCAAAACACCAGAGCACACTAGGGGAAACAGGATCCCTGGGCAGGAATTTAAAAATGGACTCTCCATTTGAGCCCCTGGAGAAGAGCGAAGGGTCTGCCATGCCCACTGTGAATATGTGCATGGGTGAACTGGTAGTGCCCTGTAGCCTTGGAGCCCTGAGAATTACACTCAAGGATGTGTATTTTCTTCTCCTTATTGTAGGGTCATCTTTTTGAATCAGACTACATCAAACAAACTCAATCTGAACATGTATCCCCATGAATCAGCTTTTCCTTGAGATAAGCACCGAAATACCCTTTGCACAGTCATTGCTAAATTCTAACTCTTCCAAAATGTTTTCTCACATGATGCTTTTTTTCCATGCCATGCCTCATGATGCTGTTATTATTGACTGGGATGTGCTGCTTTTTGCGGATACAATTCTCTCCCCCTCCTAATCCTTTACAAATGCCTATGCAGACCCTCAAGTCCCTCTTGGCAGGGGAGCTCTGCCTGCTCCCACACCCTCCTTCCTCCAGGCCTGTGGTGCCCTGTGCCAGGGAGGGGCAGGACCCATGTGTCCTGGACTAGATCCCTCAAGTAATAGTCCCTCTTCCTGGAATGTCTCTTCTGTCCTCAGCCACAACTGCTGACAACTTCCTCCTCTGTTCTGTTCCTCGTAGAATCTTTTCTTCCCTTTTTATCACTTACATTGCTTTATTCTTCCTGCACTGCGGTGAATCTATCTCTCCCACTAGACTTTGAGATCCTTGGTGTGAGGTCCCTGGCTTGGTTCATCTTTTACCTACAGGGTGCCTGGTGCACCCTGCTCACTGGGAAATGTTTTCAGCTCTGGTTGTTGAGTGTACTTCTTGGACCCTGGGATGTAATGACAGAGGTTTACTGCAGTGTGCAAAGGGACAGAGGTCCATGTTGCCCTTGTCTTCCTCGGGGCTCCTGGCTGGCAGCCAACCCAGGCCTGAGAAGGTCATGCAGTCCAACTTCCGCTGATCTATCCCAGACCCTCATGTGTCCCAGGTTGTAAGGACGGGAAGTGTAGGGGAGAAGACTCACAACTCCTACATGCCAAGCCCTATTGCAGGTGTCCCCCACATAACTGAGGAGCTTGTCAGGTCCATAGGACCAGAGCCCCACTGGGTGACGCTGGAGGTCCCAACTCAGGGACCACAATCACCCATGAGGAGAGACAAAGTGCCCTCAGAGGGAGGACCCAGATATTCCATGTCTCACAGCTGGTGAGTGACAGAGTGGGCTTGGGGCCGGGTCTTGGTGGTCCTGGGGACACTGCACAGAGGGAACAGTTGGTGGTCTGGCATGGTCGGGCTGCTAGATTGAGCAAATTAAAAATACAGGACACTGAGTGAAATGTGAATTTCAAATAAACAATAAATACTTTTTTAGTGTAAGTGTATCCCACGCAATATGTGGGATACACTCATACTAACAAAATTATTCATTATCTGAAATTCAAATTCCACTGGACGACGACTTCCTCCTCTTCTTCTTCTTCATCATCATCATCATCACCATCATCATCATCATCATCATCATCTGGCTACCTGAGGGTCTCACCAACTTTTAGCACTCAAAGTGGATCACAATCAGAGGAAGCCAATGCAGTGAGTCAATACTGGGATGACACAGTGACAGTCACGGCTCATGTGTATGCATCACCCTGTAGTTCATGACACATTTCAGCATCCGTGATCTTGTTTGATTCTCATGACTCCTCTGAGGCAGGTTGAGTGGCCTTGTCACCATCTCCTAGGTTGAGAAACAAAGGCACAGAGAGGTGCAGGATGTTGCTCAGTGCCACACAGCATGTAAAGACAGGGAAGAACTGGGGACGAGTCAGCCTGGGCTCACCACCTTACCACCTTCTGCTTTCTCCAGGAGGAAACCCTGAACCTCTGGCCTGTGGATTCAGGCTTCCTTAGGCGTGTCCTGGGAGGTGTTGCCAGCCCCGCTTATGGCTCATGGGCTGGAGTTCATGGGAGAATTGGTGTCTCTGGGGGAGAAAACGAGGGTTTCATTTCACTTTCACGTCATGTAATAAGGATCTTCTCAGCTGAGTTCTCCCAGACATCCACAGAAGTGAAACTTTTGATTCAGCCTGTAAACATGAGTCCTTCCTGTTTGGGGAGGGCTCTGGTGCTGCGGGAGGCTCAGGCAGCTGGGCTCTGCAGAGCTGGGGGCTCCCCTGCAGGCCCAAGGTGCACCCCTGAGCTGCTGAAGATATGTTCCATTTTCCTCCTCATCCCTGCCCATCTTTCCACAGGAAGCCACTGGGGTTTGCTTTGTTGCTGGGTTTGACCACTTGCCGGTAGTGTGGTTTTTGAGCCCAAGATCTTCGGGTGAATTTAATTACCTTAATTGAATGGTGCTTTCACTTCTTAGAGAAGGGGAAACAGGAAGACAGTGGAGATGGCAGGGGTTGGCTTTATCACACCCAGAAGGCTCTAACAAATTGGAATTGATTCCTCTTGCTCTTCTTTCTGGGTTGGTTTTCTGAGCCATCGACTCAGGCATGTGTGACGAGCAGTTCAGTGGAGTGAAGTGTGACAACTCCTCCCTGTCTATGCACAGCCTGGAGCCCTGCTCACAGATGGTCCTCCATCCACAGATGCACAGCACACACAGCCTCCACCACCCCACGCCACAGGGTGCCTTGCTGGTCAGTTTTGGGCCAAGCTCTCGACCTCTCTGTGCAATTCTAACAGCCCTCTTGCTTTAGAGGGGAATGTCCTTGTCTATGGTCTATGCTTTATGAGGAGAATGTCTTAGCTTGAACTAAAATATCATAGGCTAGGAGGCTTAAAATCGACATTTACTCCTCACAGTTCTGGAGGCTGGAAAGTCCAAGATCAAGGCACTGGCAGATCTGGTTTCTGGTGAGGGCCCTCTTCCTGGATTGTAAATGGACACTTGCTTGTTGTATTCTCATACAGCAGAGAGAGAGAGAGTGAGTGTGCACATGTATTAGCAAGCCCTTTTGTGTCTCTTCTTATAAGGGCACTGATCCTATCACAGGGGACCCACCCTCATGACCTAATTACTTCCCATAGGCCCCATCTCCTAATACCATTCCACTGGGGTAATCTCAGTGAATTTTGGAGCACACACATTCAGCCCATAGCAGCCAACAGTGAAATGGCAAAATTTACTTCCTCAGTTGAAGTCCTTCAGGTGAGGGCAGCAGACACGTGTTGAGTGTCTGTGAAGCAGCAGGTCGACCCCTGCACCTGCCCGTGCTCACTTATTCCTTGATAACACTTGGCATGATAGGCTCCCCTCATCATCTTACAGCTGATGAAACTGAGCTGTGACTGGCTAGGTCAATCGCTGGTCCCTTGCTTAAGGCCTGGGAGTGCTGAGCAGGGCCTCACCCAGTCCTCGGCCTCTGTGCCCTGCTCTCTGGCCCCAGGTTGATGCCTCCTCAGCATCTCCCATGTGGGGCTCGCTGTGTCTTTGTAACCCCTTTTACTTTTGGAAATCAGAAATTATAAGTTCATTTAGACTCCTAGAAGAAAGCGTAAGATCTCGTAAGCGTGACTTAAGCTTATTTATGTATTGATCCATTCAACAACTACTTATTGAACACCTGCTTCACGTCACCAGTTTTGGTGCTGGAGATATAGCCATGTGCAGGGCTGACCCGGGCCCTCTCCTCACGTAACTGGATGGATCCTGGGAAGTTACTGCTTTGTAAAAGCACAATTACCTCTGATTGCCTTAGATTGGCTTCCACTGGGCAGTGCCTCTTATGTGTGTAAAGCAGAGATTTGATATACATAAGGGTCATTGTGCATCCAGTCTGGCCATTTTGGCTCCACTAGCCTGATATTTGGCACATGGGAGAGGGGTGTCAGCCTGCAGCCTGGCCTGGCTTGACTGGACCCAAACTCAGGTTATAGCCTGGGAAAGCCAAAGGCTCTCAAACTGACTCTGAGGCCACTGTGCCCTGGGAGAGAACAAGTTTGGCTTTGGCCAGCCCCAGGAACATGATGTGGTTGGGTGCCATGATGGCAGTGTTGGCCTGGTGGGAGTCTGAATCTTCTACAACCACATTACATGTGCAGGAGCCTCTAAATCTTGTAGCAGGTAGAAGTCCAGGATGCCCCAGGGGTTGTGGTTGAAGAAACCAGCTTGCCTGGGCTTGTCAAACCCACAGAACTGGATGTGAGCAGGGGGTAGCAGGGGCTGCTGCCCTCTGGGGAGAGACTGGAGGAGTGATGCTTTCTCTGTGAGCTCAGCCCAGCCTGAAGCTGACTTCTGGCCTGGGTAGCCAGTCTGCCATGTCTGGATGGGTCATTCCCCAGAAGCTTCCAAGTGCTGCTCAGACCCAGGGCTGTGCCTACAGTTGAGGCCAGGGAACAAGGCACAGGGAAGGCCGGGCTTGGTCTAACCCAGGACATGAGGGTGACCAATACCTGGCATCACAGACCCAGGGAGGGACCCTTATGGCAGGAGAAATGAGAAGTCACAGGAGAAAAGAAGAGAGGAGGAGAATGGGACTGGGTTCAAGCAGTCTCCCACAAACCTGTCCCCTCCTGGTTCCTGTTCCCTGATGACCAGGGCAGGCCAAGCGATGTTTAATAACCAGCTCTCTGGGGCAAAAAGCACTGGATTTGTAGCACTGGCTAATTTCTTGCTGCCTCCCTGATATCCCAGGCAGAGTTGGGACGAGGTGTGCTCAGTGGGCCTTGCAGGGTGCAGGGGGCTCTGGTGCGCCTCTGCATCCCAGCAGGCTCCGGAGCTCGCACTGCTTAAACTTGGGTAGAGTCTCACTCCACAAAGGCTAACCTGCGAGCTGTCAGCAGCACCTCTTTGCGCAGTTTCTGACCGCTTCTGGAGGTGGAGCATTATGGAGGATCACTCCTTGGAACTCCTGGTGGCCAGATGGGCTGGACTCAGCCAGACACCGTCTCTGGACAGTCCCTTCCACTAGGAAGGAGCTCAGGCCTGGCACTGCCAGCTGCTCCACGACACTCTCTCAGGTGTTCTCTGCAGACCTCAAGGGGCCCAGCCTCAGCAGCCAGATGCTCCCTAAGCAAAGAGCCCTTGGCTTCTCCTCGTGAGCTCAGAGGTGCCCTTGGCTTCTCCTGGCGAGCTCAGAGGTGCCCTTGGCGTCTCCTTGTGAGCTCAGAGGTGCTTTATAGGAGCAGCCATGCTGGCATCACAGGTAAAAGTAGGAGCAGGAAAGATCTGGAAGGGAGAGCATGTGATCCCAAACAACTCTGTTCACCCTGTCTTCCTATCCCAGGGTTGGGTGAGTGCCAGTCCTGCTCCACTGCCCAGGAGGGGAGTTGCCTGAGAGGCAGAGATTTTGGGAGAAAGCAGGGTCAGCCTGGCAGCCATGGTTCTGCTGCTCATCCTTCTTACCCTTGCACCTCCTTGTTGCACCCAACCCAAACTGCAGGGCCACCCCCACTGCCAGGCCAGCTGCTGGAGAAGGGACACATGGCTCCTTCAGGAGCTCTGGGGCCATGTGAATGGTGGGTCCCCCTGGGATCTGGGCACAGGTCCTCGTGCTGCTCTGTGCCCTTTAGCCATGGTTGCTGAGTACAACCGTGCTTGAGGGACATGGCATGTGAGAGCCTTTCTCATCTGCAAGTAAGTGGACCCCATGCCATGCACCTGGCACAGGTGCTCCCAATAGACTTTCTAAGTCCCCACATCACTGGCACTGCCCAAGTCTCTGGCCAAAATCACCCCTGGCTGAGAACTGCTGTTAGAGAATCAGGGAGGGAGCACTAGCCCAGCACCAGGCTCTTCCTGCCTTCACTCATTCATGTATTCACTTGCTCTTCCCCTCCACATTTCCTAGGAACATCTTGCCCTGGATTCTGGAAATGGCAGGACCTGACATGAGAGTCATCAAATAGGCAGTACCAGCAGTGCGAAGAGCGGAGACCCAGCTCTAAAGTGCTGTTGTCATGGGTGTCACTTAACTGCTACACCTGGAAAAAAGGGATAATAAAAATCAGCCCGGCTGTGCCCGCCCCTGGGACTGCCCACTCCCAAGGTTGCTCCCCATGCTGGACACAGGAATTTTCATGGAATCGGTCCCTGTGGCAGGCACTGCTTGAGAGTCTCTCGATGCTGGAGTCAGCCAAACCACCAGGTCCTGGATCCCCACCACAGCAGGGAGGACGCCTGGACTAGAAGGAGGTTCAGAAGGCCCTGACCATTGCAGCCCCGTGCCTCACCTGCCAGGTCGACAGGGAGCGAGTGAATGGCATACACATCCTCCTCTCCGTGTCTCCACAGAGCAGAGGTTTCTCCTCTACATGTAGTAAGAAATGCATTTACATCATGGCACAGAACATGCTTGGAGACATATGTATCATGGAAAACCAGACAAAGCAAAGCTTACCCTTCTTATATGTACTGCTCCATCCTAATCTAATCTATTCGTTCATTTAAAAAACCTCTTCACAACTTAGTGATTTCAGGACTCAGTAATGACTTATGATCTATAGTGATTTAAAAAAAACTCTCTGAGACCAGAAATTTTAGGCATCCCTAATTATGCCCAACTTACGGGTGCCCCGTTTCTGGTAATGCTAGATTTTCATCTGGATGGAGAATTGGAGACCCAAGGCCCAAACAGTGGCTGATCAGATTCACTTGGGGAGGGGAGGAGACCCCACCCGCTGGTGGCAGGTCCATGGGCTGGGCCTTGCCTTACTGCTCTAGCTTATGTTTCCAGTCTCCACACAGTGCCTATGCCTAGCATGGGGCCTTTTATTTGCTAAACAAGTGAGTGAATGAGTAGGTGAGAGAAATTTCTCTTATCCACTGAGTGGGTAATGAGCACCTGGTATAAAGGTACTTTATAACCTAGTATTATTAATATTTATTATTTAATTAGTATTCACAACAGCCTCATTACACAGGAGTTACTCTTGTTCTTTACAGAGGAGAAACGTGTGTAGCGCAGAATTTAATACCTGGTGGTGTGGGGCTGGAACCTAGGGCTGCCAGAGAAGTGGTCCCTTTCACCTGTCTTTAGAGAGCCTCCTCTAGCAGCTTCTAGAATGCCAGCTACAGGTTAAAAGTCTCTGCTCAGCACCACACTGTGACTTTGGGGACCCACCTGCCCCTGGCTACCTTGCAGCCTCCATACTCCTGGTTCTTACCCACAGGTCTCCTTAGAGCTCATCTTGAGACCTATGGCCATAAGATGTCCTTCTATTCCCCATACCCCATGACACCTGGGATTCCATAGCATGGGGTGCAAAGAACTTGAAACCCTGCCCTGGCCCTTACTTACTGGGGCACATAACTCTCCAGTTAAGAGCTTCAGAATCAGACAGCTTTAGGACTTGCCACTTAACTTGTGTGAGCCTCAGTCTCACTTTGGTGACCTTGGGGCAAATGGAAAGGCAGACCCAGCAGCTTGATGCTTGTGGAAACCCCTTATGGATCAGGAAGTGGGTGGTGAAGGGACAACTGTAACCTATGACCAGATTCCACCTTGGAGAGCCTTGTCTAGACAGAAGCCCACTTGAGGGCTCCTGGAGGAAGAGACATTTGTTTTTGCTGGGATGGGGGTATCCCCTCAGGAACCATCCTTTCTCCAGCCCCTGGGAAGGGAGCCAGGCACTAAGGGGAGGGGAACCCCCTGAAAGCAGCCCCGGAGGGTGCCAGCCTTGGCAGAGAGAGGAGGTTCAGGCAGGACTCCTGAGAACTACGGGAGGGCAGGGTTTCTACAGAGTCCATCACATTGTCTATAGACCAGGTTCTCCATATGCAAACTGGTGCCATGAGGTTGCGTGACACAGGCAGAGAAGCAGAGCTGGAAGAGCTGTCACCAAATGTTAGCCCCCTGGTAGTCCCAGGCACCCATCCTGTTGACGGCGCTCCTGCAACCTGTCCCTCACTCTGTATCCATGGCCTCACTCAGTGGGTGCAACAACTGGCAAATTGAGTAGGGCTGACGCAAAAGGAATTTTAGGTGGAGAAATTGAAGGTCAGAGAGGTTAAGGAACTCACTTAAGGTCACACAGCCAGAGAGCAACAGAGCCAGGATTCAGGGCCAGGTCTCTCCAGAATGCAGTGAGGCAGAGAGTCAAGAGATGAGATGGTCTTCTATCTGCCACAGGTTTGTGCAGGGCGAGGAGTGGGTAGCAACCCCTCTCCTAGCAAATTCTCAGTTATCTCTCTCTGCATCTGGTCCCGCCAGGGAGCATTTGCTTTAGTAAAGCTAGAGGAGGCATGTGTAGGACCTGGCTCTCCTGCAGAGCTCATCTTCCCTGGCCTGGAAGCCACAAAGCTGTGTGCATCTGGGATAAGGAGAAGGGGACCTCACACAGAGCACCCCTGGGAATTCCTAAGCCTCCCACATAGGTCTGAAGCTGTGCCTGGCCTTCTCCTGTCTCTGCTGGAGGCTGGAAAGTAGCTGGTAGATGACTGCTGTCCTTTCTCCAACCAGCACAGCAGGGGTAAGGCGGCTCAGCCAGGGGAAGGAAAGGGGAGAACAGGCTCCTGCAGTGCAATGTAAGGAGCTGACCAGCACCCAACTGCTTCATGGAATTCCTCATGGCAAGGAAAACCATTCAGATGTGGCCAGCCTGGTTCTCCTTTTCAAATTTAAAGCTGAAAGATGCTCCTTTAACAACCATGTTTATTTCAACCTATGGCTGTGTTGATGTGAAAAACTTGGCTCCTTGGAGCATCTCCTGTTGTGTCTGAGAACAGCGCCAGCCCCTTGCCCCCCTTTCCCTTCTTAAGGAAGCATCCTCACACTTTTCAGAATGCCCTCGGGGCTGGCTTAACAGTGCTTGATCCCGCTCAGGACTCAGGAGATCTGCTGGCCCTGAGACCGCACCTGGAGAAAGCTGATCTGGGTCTTGAGTGATGGGAGGTTGCCCCTGCTTCAGGGAGGACGTACTAACAAGTCATAGTCTCTTGGGCCACTCGGGTCTGATGCTTGTCAGTGGCTGTGGTTTGTGCCATGTCTGCCCTTGTCCTGAGCCTGGTTCAGAGGTGGGAGTATCATTTTCCCACTCAGGCTTGACCTCCCATCCACCCCATGTGCTGAAGGTGCTCAGATCCATGACCTCTTCCGCACAAGAGGGGAGGTGGTCACCATGTGTGGTCACCATGGGGTTGGGGTCAGTCCTGTATGGTGCCAGCTGCTCTCCCACTGAGTTGTGAGCATGAACCAGCTGAACTCTGAGGCACAGGACTTTCTCCTTGGTGACTCTGGAAGGTATAGGCCCAAGCTGGAGTTTAAGTGGGAAGAAAAAAATCTCTAAATAGGACAGTGGAGTGAGGAGAGCAGTTCTTGTATTTCTACCACGTGCTGGGAACTTTTCATACATTTGCTCAGTTAATGCTCACAGGACTAATGTGGGAGCTGTTATTATTCCCATTTTACAGAGGAGAAAGCTGAGGTCCAGGGGGCTTGCTGAGAAGTGACAGGGCTGACCTATGAACCCAGATTTGCCTGTCCTGTTGCCCCTTCTGAGCCACAGGCTTCCAAGCGCAGTGTGGAATCCCTGCAGCACCCTGGGCAACTTCCCAAAGTCCTGAGGAGCTGGGGTGAAGCCTGTGCACCTCTCTAGGCATACTCAGCTTTCCTAAGGGAGGTTTTGACTCTAGTGATGGGATAGCCTCCTTTCTAGAGAATCTATTGGGAGCTCTGGGTATCAGGAGGCAGTGAGTACAAGACATGGGAGTTGCATTCAGATCACAAGCCCCTCATTCACTGTGCATCTTTGGGCAAGTTACTTAACCTCTTCAAGCCTCGGCGCCTGCCTCCGTGAGGGGGCTCACAAGACCTACCGTGCTGGATGGTTGAGAATGAGACCAGATACTCCAAAACTTTGCTCACTGGAGGTCTGAAGCCAATGATTTCCACAGGGGAAATGGTGGGCAAACTGAGGGCAAGAAATGGCTTGCATCTAGTGGTTGTAGCCCAGGGGGCCTGAGCTCTAACCCCTTGACCTCTGCAGTCTTCGGCTGATCTGCCTCTGAGGGTGGCAGACACAGCCAGGTGAGAGGATGAGCTGGTGGTGCTACTGTGGCTTGGCAACCCGGGACATGGCAAGCCAAGGGGCAGCTCCAATGTGACCTGGCATGAACTGGCCCTCACAGGCAGGCTCAGTGGTGCCAGATCTGGAACCAACCTCCTGACACAGTGGGGAGTAGGGAGAGAGCCTCAGAAACTCCTTCAGAGGCTTCCCAAGCAAATTGGAGAGCCTCCCCTTCCCCCTGCCCTCCTCAAGCTTCAGGTGAAGGCTTTGAGGTGGGAGATATCCCAGATGAAATCCTTCCCTCCAGCCATCCTTGCAGCTCCTCAGCAGCTCAAGCCCACCTGGGAAGGGGGTTAGTAGTGAAAGAAGGGACTAACTGAGGCAAGGGAAGACAGCCCAGAGTGGGGTGGGCCAAAGGAGCCCCTGGGATTGGCCAAGCAGAGAATGGAGGACGCAAGGAAGGCCTGCCCATCTGCCATGTGTCATGGCCCAGAAGAACGTCCCTTTCCCCTTCATCTAAGACAGGGAGGTCCCTAAGTCTGGAGAGGAAGCTATTCATGGTTGATTGGTTGTTGGGATTTTCTTTCTGTCAGACTTTCCCCAGGCTGTCTGACCTGGGCTTAGAAGGGAATGCACTTTGCACTGAGCTGGCTTCAGTCTTTCTCCTGAGAACCCAGGTCAGCTGAGTTCTGCTCTTGCCTCCCCTTGACTTTAGGAGGCTGTGGATTAATCACACTGTATTCTTCCCACAGGCAGCCCCTTCCAGGGAATGTTCCAGAGTGATACCAATGACTTAAATTGGGGGTGACACATCTGAACATCAGCATGTGCTCTACATGCTCCATGTTTGGGTCTTGATAGGCCTCCACTGATCCCTTGTCCTTCCCGCTCTGTCCCATCCACTAGCTCATGCCATGCAACCCTTGGAAACCAAGTAGAAATGAGGGGGTGTCTGAGATTTTTCCAATTAACTAAATGAAGCATATGATTGAGATAAAGACTATGGACTGGCTGGATTTTGTGAAATGAGGTTTAAACTCTCAAATGGAAATAAAACCAAAATCCACTCCAGCCTCGATGGACCCTGTTGGGGAGCAGCAGCCCTGTGTGCCCCTGTAGCGTGGCCTTCTCTCAAAGCCCTTTGCTTCCCTCCAGTAACCCAGGGCATATGGAGTAAAATCCCAAGAGCCAATGAGGAAGACGGCCCAGTTCTGGTGCCACCAGCAGGCTTGGGTTCTTGAGATTTCTGGCAGAGACTGGAGGAATAGGGCTATTTCAAGACATGAGGCCTCCCCTCTTCAGTAAGGGTCTCCAGGGCTTCCTTAGGGTCAGGAAAAGACAAAGACACTTACTTCTGTCCTGGCAAAAAGAAATCAAGGTGGGAGGATGCAAGGCCATCTCTGGCCTTCCTGTCTACTCTCAACAGCTTTCTCTCCCCAGGTTCCAGGAGACCTAAGCCCCTCTGCTCCAGGACACAGCATTCTACCAGCCCCCTTCTTACCCACCGCACACAGTTGTTCCCTTCCCAGTGAGCTTCTGGTCATCCAAGAGCAGACAAACTTGTTCCCAGAGACCCAGGGGCAGATGTGTGTTGGACTTGGGTCACCCGGGGAAGGCTATTTATAAATCACCCCGATAAGCACAATCTGCCCTGCTCAGCCCAGGCCACATGGACACGCTGTGTGTCTGGTGATTCTACTGCTAAGCTAACCCTCCCAGCACCGTGACAGCAAACTGGACATTTCCTGTATCAGCCAGGCCTAAAAAGTGGGCCCTGGAAGGTGCAGGAGGCTCAGGAGCCAGCCAGCCACTGGTCCTGAAGGGTCTGGCTTACAAACTATTCTAACAGCAAGAACTTTCACTGCTTTTTTTTTTTTTTTTTTTGTATTAAATTGACCCATCTCAAGATGTGTTCTTGTAACACAGTGGTCAGCAAACTTTTTCTGTAAAGGGCCACATTGTAAGCGTTTTCAGTTTTGCAGGCCATATGGTTTCTGCTGATATAGTGTAGAAGCAGCTTTAGACAATATGCAAATGAATGAAGGTGGCTGTGTGCCAATACAACTTTATTTACAAAACCAGATGCTCAGACCACAGACCAGAGTTACCAGCCACTACTGCAAAGGGAACTCAAATGCTGGAAAACAGGACCTCATTTACTACACACATCTGTTTAATCTGCTTCCCAGGTTCCTATACTTAGGGAGCTACCTGAAAGGCCTACACAATGATTTTTCTTAAGGCTATCTAGCTTTCCACACACATTGACCACTGCCGTTCTCAATGTTCAATTCTTCTCCACCAGAAAATAAAAGAGGTAATTTTAGACTCAGTCAAGCATACCCTGTGGGAGTCTGGTGGGGGCCCTCCCAGGGTGTGTAAGAACAGGCAGCCTGTGGCGGGCTTTGTTTTGGGGACACACATGCTCGCAGAGCCCACAGGCCAGAACGTCTCAGTCACCAGTTTTTCTCTTTGTTACAGCTGGTGTGACCCTGCCTGGCCCAGCGCTGGGGGAGCTAAGAAAGCCAGCCTCCCTCAGCCCTGAATGCTGAAAACCTGGGACCATGGGGTCACCCATTTGACAGCGCAGTGGCCTGGGCACATCTGTGCACTCAGCCATGTGGGAGCAGAGATCCCTGACAGATGACACCTAAGGACAAAGTCACACATGTACACGGTTCCGGGTACGTGGTCCCCGAGGCCCATCCAGCACACCAAGAACCTTAGCCCCAACACCAATGGGCTCCCGGCACACACATACCACCCTGCACAGCACCCTGGCACCGAACTACTTCCCCAGCACAGCATCGGCCCAGCGGGAACATCCCTCCCGCCATGAACTTGAGCCTCCCTGCCCACGCTAAGGAGCCAGACAAGTGTCTGGGCTGTACCTTCCGCTCTCTGCGTGTCCAGCTGCTCAGGCCTCCTCGGGAATGGGAGAGAAACCCGGCTCTGCCCAGCAGCCAAGACTTCTTTCCTCTTTATCCAGGCTGCCCAAAGGTGATAGGAGAGTGGATTCAGGACCCAAGCCTCCTCTAGCTCACAAACCTACCCACCTGAGGAAGATCAGTGACCAGAAGCCGGCCAGACACGGGAAGTCCGCGAAGCTTACCTAAATAGAGACCCAGCCGGGGGAAACCAAATGGTGTTCTTGGTGGGGAAGAGGCAAACAGTCCGCACTGCAACACCCGCGTGGTGTCAAGTAACAGTCAGATTAAACAAACAGCCTCAGCTGCTATTTTTACTTCCAAATCAGCCACGAGTAACAGATCACTTGGGGAGTGAGAAATTGCTTGCCGCTTAGCCGGACCCTAACCACGATTCCAACTTCAATCCAGAATGATTGCTAAAGCTATTCCAGCACCTAGAGTCAAATAAAAATATCCCGAGGTGGGAAGGAAAACATTTGTTTAGGGAAACATTAAAAACAGGAGAGTGTGTGCCTTGGAGCCAGAGCCCAGAGCCCTGCTGATGTCCCGGGGCAGAAATAGCCCGTTTCATCATCGGCTCTGGACGACCGCCGCCCGCATTCCTCGAGTAAGGAGCCGTCCTCTGCTGTGCTTTTGGAGCAGAATAATCTGCAGCTAGGGGAAGGCCAGGCTGGGTCTCAGGGTGAGAGTTACAGAAGGATATGAAATAATCGGGGAAGAGGCAAGGTAAGTGTCCACTTGGTAAGCTTGGCTACAGCAAGCCCGGTTGTTTGCAAAGTCCAAGCACCAGTGGACAAGTCCCGTTCTGCCAGGCTCCCCTCTCCACCTCTGGGAAGGGCTGGCCTCCCTTCAACCCTGAGGTGGGCTCATGCCTGCCTTCCCAATGGCTGCTTTCTGTCTCAGGCTGGGGTCACCTGCTCCCCAAACTGCCCACAGATCCCCCAACTTTTTCCACTGGCTTTTCCTTGGCTTGTGCCATGCCAGCTCCCAGAGTGCCTTCCTTACTCTCCCAAGCTGGCCCTAGGATAGTCTGCTTGCTACCAGGATTTAATGCAAGAGTGGGTTTTTTTCCCCCTTTCTCTCCAAGGTTCTTTTTTATGCTTCCCTGACTGTGGCCTGAGAAAGCGGAGATGACTGGCCCCCGCTGGGTGTCCTGCTCTGTGCAGCGCTCAAAGCCTCTGCAAGTTTGCAGTGTGCTGTGTCTTTGGGTCTATTTGTAGACTGTCCCTTCTGCCCCTGTGGGCTCTTCAAGGGCAGCAACCTGTGTCCCAGCCCCAAGCTGGGGCCTGGCACCACCTCCAGCCTTGAACCGGCTGACAGCCAGGGCCACAGGGACCCAGGTCTATGTACTTTTGTCTAAACCAAGTCACAAAGAACAGCTCCTCCTTGCCCTGCAGACTAAGGTGTGAGATTCCAACCAGCAGGAGCATTCAGACCCGCCTCCTCCTGGGAGCCTCAAGACTTGCCTTTTGCCCTGAGAGCTTCAGAACCTCGCTGTGGGGATGATTACTTGCTGCTCCGCACTCAGAGATGCTTTGAGGGAGGCCCAAAGTGAACCCCTCAATTTTACCCACCCACCTCCCTACCTCCCCATTTGCCAAAACAAACGCATGCCAAAAGGTCAGACAAAAGCCATCAACTTGAGATGGGAGCCAACATTTAAAAAGTACACAGGATTTTGAGCCCTGGCTCCATTATTTCCTGGTCAGTTGACATGTCACATACTTACCCTTCCTGAGCCTCAGTTTACCCATCTCTAAAGTGGAGAGAATGCCTGTGCTCTGTGGGATTCAGGGTCAGGGGAGCTCATGTACATGAATATGCTCGTCTATTGCAAAGCTTCCCAAAATGTTAGTCATTTATTTGTTATTTTTTCCCATGATTTTTGCTACACCTCAACCATCTGTATCAACATTTACTTACTATTTTCCTTTAAAGAAAATTTAAATTGACTTGCTTTTTTTCTTGAACAGAAGAACTTTATGGAAAACAACAATACTTAATAGATCATGGATTTGACATATTTGTTAATTTCCCTCCCTCCCAGTACACATTGAAACAAATTTACAGTCAGTTCATATGTCATCTGTTTGACCCAAATCATTTTGTTCCAGATGTTAGAAAATGTTGCATTACTAAACCTCATTTTATGGAGGAGTTTGCTTTGGGGTGTGAGTAACATGAGCTGAAAGCTTCGGCAGGGCCGCTGGTCTTCCTAATTTGCTTTCCTCCCCTCCTCAGCACCTTCCTTCCCCAGCTTACGTTTCATTCTTCACAGGTGGAGAGCATGACCTCATGTCTTGTTTAGGATCCTAGAAACAGCAAGCTTTGCTCTGCAGCAGGAGCGAATGGTGTTTGCTTGAAGTGGCTGATTGAGGAAAGAGCACCGTGGGATGGCTGGGGAATGTTCCGGGGGCCGGGCACTGGCGGGTAGCTTTGTCAATGACATCAGCAGGAGGGGTAGGGAGAGAATAATAAAACACAGTTGACCCAGCAAGAGCCTGTCCTAGGAGCAGGCAGCCCTCAGAGCTTGGCTGGAGGCTCCAACCAGCAAGCCTGAGCATAGCTGACACCTGCAGAATCTAATTTCTCCTGGATGTTCCCCCACCTGCCCTGTGTAATAGACTCTATGTCTGTGTCAGTTACAGCGGGTATCCTGATGCAGACCATCCCCAGCCAGAAACACAGCCGCAGAACTGAGCCCAAGCTCCAGACCAAAAACTGAGCCCAAGCTCAGGGTCTGCATGGCCCAGAGCTGGCATCTGTCCGGGGGACTGGCCCAGGCAAAGTGACCACTGTCATCCAGTCCAGGAGCTGTGAGCTGCATGGAAAGAATGTGAATGAAGACACAACTCTAAATGTGGAACCATGGACGCTATGTGAGCCAGTGTGCTCCCTAGCCGTCCAGAAAAACAAGGCCCACTTGTACATTCTGCAAGAGCATAAATAAAGCTGTCCTCAGGCGGCGTGCTGTGGTGGCCCATCCTTGCAGTGGCTTCACTGGCTGCACCCCTCAGCAAGGCCTCTGGAACACTGTGAGGGCAGCACACCCACCCAACAGCGTGGGTAAAAAACGGTCTAGCTATGGCCTTGCCGCACGTGGTGATCGCTAACTTAATTTTGCAGCAAATTTAATCTGCTCTGTATTGGTATTAATTAGAAATGTTCAAAAGCTGGTAATAAGGGCAGTGCAGAATGGGTCCTTCAGGCCAATTTCTGGTTCTGGGTATTTGAAGCTCATATCCCTGCAAATAACAGGAAGCCACTCACCTGATTCTTTTAACTTTGCGTCCTGGTTATATGTGACTTCCTGTCGGGGAACGTTTCTTCATTATCACCCAGCTTTCCTTTAGGAGTCATTTCTGTAAAGTTCTTCAGGACGGTGGTACATTTCCATGGCTTAATAATAATAATAGCAAGTGAAAATGCTAGCCAGCAAACATAGAATGCTTACTTTGTGTGCCACATGGTTCTAAGTCCTCACATCAATTAACCCACACCCTATACACCCCTGATCATAGGTCCCTGCATGATTTTTTCCCATCCCCATGAATCACTATCCATTGGGGAGCTAGGGAAGGATGAGATATGGAGAAGTGATATTTCCTGAGCACTCATTATGTGCCAGGAAAACACTTTCTGTGCTTTGTTCCACAAAATACTTAGTCTCCCTGTAAGATGGCAGCTAATGTTTCCTTTTTAAGGATGAGGAAACTGAGGCTTGCAGAGGTCCCAGGATGCCACAGCTAATAGCAGCACAGAAGATGCAGACGAGGGCTCACCTTCCCACCTATCCAGTTAGTACTCTCCCAGCCCAAGTGCAGGACACAGCCAGCTGTTCTCCTTGCCTCTCCCTGCAGAGAGGGCAATGCCTGCAGGGCACCTCCTTAGCTACCGATTTGTTATGGGGATTCTGTGCCCACTGTGAGCACAGCATGAGTGTATTTCCAAGCCTGATGGCAAGATGGTGCCTCACTGGAGGAGCCCTCACTTCAGGGGCTTAGGCCCAGCTGGGCTGGCTGCCTGCTGAGGGGCCTGAGCCGGAGGACCTCTCTTGCAGGAGCACTAGGTTGGTGAGGTGTTGCCTGCTAATGTGTAGCTCAGAGGGGCTAGAGTTATGGGGGCAGGGCCCTGTTTGTAGCTCAGAGCTTGAAAGAGCCCAAGTTGCCGAGGCCCCTTCTATAGGGCTGCCCTTCTCCCTATCTGACCAGCCTGGTGCTGGGATGGCGATAGTCACATTCAACTGAGGGTCACCTTGGCTGAGGCCTCTCCTCAAGGCAGTTCCTTTAGGATTCTTTGTTTAGGACTTTACGATGGAAGACTTAGACATAAGAAACAGAATCTGTGAAGGAAATCCAGTTTATTAAAGTGCTACCAAGTCTCACAACAAAGCCATGGCAACCAGCTGGGAGGTCGGCTTCCTGGTGGATCTGGGTGTAGTTGCTCCTCTCTCCACACTCAGAGAGATCTGGAAGCCCAGCGTTAAGAGGAGCTACTCCCTAGAGGACGGGTTGACAAACTTTTTCTGCAAAAGGCCAGATGGTAAATATTTTCAGCTTTGCAGGCCAGTGGGTCTTTGTCAAAAGAGCTCAGTTAGGCCATGGTAGCATGAAAGCAATTAGAGACACTCTACACAAATAGGAGTGACTAACACGGTAAATAAAACTTCAGTTTCAGAGTTTAAAAGAAGAAAGTTGATTTTCATACAATTCCATGTATTACAAATATTCTTATTTTGACATTTTCCCTCCAATTATTGAAGTGTGTACAACCACTCTTAGCTCACAGGGCTGTCCAGAACAGACAGCACAGGGATTTGGCTCATGGACAGTTTGCCGACCTCTGCCCTAGAGCCACTTTGTCCACTTGAGTGGCCACCAACCCTATGTGGCTAATGAGCACTTGAAACATGGCTGGTCTGAACCAAGATGTTCTGTGAGTGTAAAATGCACACTGGATTTCCTTAGTACAAAGAAAACCTTGGAAAATATCTCAACAATATTCTGTATTGATTACATGTTGACATGACAATACCTTGGACATTCTGGGTTTAATAAAATATATTGTTAAAATTTACTTTCACACGTTTCTACTTTTGGAATGTGGCTCTAGAAGATTTGAAATGACATATATGGTGTGGGCTGTATTTCCACTGGACAGTCCTGGGCTCTGCTCCTGGTCACGGACCCTCACCCTCATTGCCTGGTATGTCCATTAGGCCAGACTTGACTTGGGATCAGGGCTGAGCTGCTCATGGTGAAAGAGTTTCAATTTCTCCACCGCGATTGCTCTGGGTTCAGTTGTTAAGCAGAAACTTTCGCAAGTGTATTCCTAGATCATGGGTATTGTTGTTCCCATTTGCTTCCACCATTGTTTCTAAAATTTATTGGGCCTTAAAATGAGACTTTAAGCGCATGAAGAAAAATATGGTGAGCATTGCCGTTTTCCAGGCACCTCCAGAAGCTGCATGCTGGGTTAGCGGTCTCATACACAGTGTGGATTGGATCTTCACAACCATTCTGGGAGGGAGGCATTCTTACCTCCATTTCCAGATTCAGAATGAGGTCAAAGAGGTGAAGTCCCTCACCCCAAATTACGTACTTGGCAGCAGAGCTGGTGTCAAAGTCAGGGTTCCCTTTCTCCTCAGACCACTCTTTCCCCTGGTGCCATGTCACTAACACGGTGGTGGAAGCAGGGCCTTCTTGGAAGAGGTGCTTCCACCTCCAGTGCAGAAGCAGAGCAGGGATTCCGTAGAGCAGCCTGGCTGAGGGGAAAGAGACTGTCAAGGCAGGGCTGGAATGCAAAGCCCAAGCGTGCTGTTGCTACTCTGCACCCCAGGTGCCACCTGTTCTCTTTCCCATAACGAGAACAGGGAGCAGGGAGAGGAAGACCACTGTGTACCTGTCCCACACCCACTGTGGCTGCAGGGTTTAGTGCAGGACTGTTTTAGCCTCAGAGGTGGACCAAGGTAAGAGTCACCAGCTCCAGCCTTACGGGCTTCTTGCCCCTCTCTGCATGCAGCTCCACCCTGCCCCAGGGCCTTTGCACCTGCCTATCGGATCCTCTGTTTGGAGCGCTCTGCCCTGATCCTGACATGGGTGCTTCCTTCTCACCGTTCAAGCTTCAGCTCAAGTGTCACTTCCTCAGAGAGACTTTTCCTGGCTATCCTATCTAGAGACCCTCACCCCGACCCCAGCTGACCTCTGTCACACCCCTCACTCTATTCTTCATGGTCATGATCACTAACAGAAACCATCCCACTTCTTTGTTCCTGGGCTATGCTCTGTCTATGCACTCCCTTCTTCCAGAAAGCAATTCCAAGACGACATCTACTTTGCCTGCCTCATGTTCTTCCGTGCACTTCATGTGAAATGAATGAGTGTGAGCAGTGGTTCTCAAGTCCCCCGAAGGAGGAAGCACCGATTGCTGGGGCCCTCCCTCAGAGTTCCTGCTTCAGTGGGTCCTCTGTGGGGCCTGGGTATGTGCATTTCTAATAAGTCCTCAGGTGATGCTGATGCTGCTGGTCCAGGGGTCACCCTTGGAGAAGAAAGAGCACCTGTTCCTGGACAGGCTGCACGGACTCTCTTCCACGCTTGCTGTGGATGATTTCCTGGGAGCTGCTGTTCAAAAGTGGCTTTCTACTTAACTTGACTCAACAAATATTTACTGAGCACTTCCTGTGGATCAGGCACTTCTGGTTGCTTTCTCATTTGTAACCTCCTTTTCTCCTCACTACATTTCTGAGGTGATTTACTGGCAAGAGAGCTGAGGCTTAAGAGGTTGAATAAATGGTTCAAGGTCACAGAACTAGGCATAGGTGGGGCTTGGGCTGGTTGCAGGGGGTTCTGGCACCTGGCTTAGGTGGGTTCCCATCCTGCCCTATTGCTCTCTGAGGTCTGGCCTCCCAGGAGCCTTTGGGTATGGCTCACAGGTGCCAGGTATGTCCAGCCATCTATTTCCACTTCTCTGTGTGCTGCTGGGCAGAGCCACACAGAACTCCAGGTGGTACAGCCAGGAGAGTCTGTAGCTGAGCTGCTAAGTTTGTGAATTTTGGCCACAGGGTCTTAAGCACTGCACTCTCAGATCTACCTCACACCAGCTGTGTGACCTTGGACATATGACTTGATTTCTCCAAACCTCCATTTGGTACCTATGTCATATGACTGTTGCAAATATTAAATGGGATGATGCAAGTGCTTAGCATGGGTAGGTACAATAAGCTAATGAAGTCATTTTGTCATAACTGTGATTGCCTTGGCTCTCTTGTGGTTGGGTTGGAGGGCAATAGCAGGTCTGAAATGATTGAGAACTTGGGAGCTAGGGGCTGAGGAGGTGGTGAGTGGAGGACCAAGAAGCTGGGTACCTCCCTGCCATGCAGCATTACGCAGCTGTAGAAAGGAATGAAGACCATCTCTCCATCCTTGCAGGAAGTAATTCCCAGGACAAGGGGGAGAAACATGGGTACAGTGTGTTTACCATTCACTGAAGGAGAGATTATAGATGTATGCCTATTTATATGGATTTCCTGATATTAAAAGAAAACCATAGAATAATTACAAAATGATTATGGGGAAGAAAGAAAACAGGCTGGTGGGATAAGGAAAAGGAGCTAGGTTTCCCTGAATCTACACTTTTTTTGGGTAGATTTGACTTGGACCCATGACATACCTTCCAGAATTTTAAAACTAAATTAAATCAAAAAATTTAAAAAAGAAGCACCTAAAAACTGAGAGCAAAATGAAACAAATGAACCTAATGCATAGGTGGCATGATTTCACAAAAGGAAATTATATCAAATGTTTTTCAAATAAGTAATTTGATTTAACCCATAATGGGAATATACCCGAACACAAAATTATGAATTTTAAATAAAATCTTAAACTGTTCTTAGAAATATTGATAGATGACAGATAGAGCAAATAGGTAAGTATGGGTTTTTTTCTTAGAAATATTTAATAGGGACTTATAAACAGAAGGCATGTCTGTGTCTCGGGTGGTGACAAGACAAGATGATGGATCCCTGTGCCCCTACCCCCAGACCCAGGGCTCATATACCACAGGGGAGGGGTGGCTCAGGAGGGACGTGTAAGACAATTGAAGTGTGACAACATCAATGTTATTTGAGCTAAGGGCAGGATTTACAGTCAGCTCCTGCTCTAACTCAAGGAATAACAGATAAATGGGAAATCTTAGAGAACTTCCTGGAACAGGGGTTTGTCAGAAGCCAATGTGGTGGATTAGCTTAAATTGGTAAGTATGTTCATGTCATTCAAAGCAAGATTTTTAGTGTTAGAGAAAGAAGATGCAAATATAAAACCAAAATATTAAGTAACACTCTATGCATATATTTGAATATCAGTATGAACTCTTAATTACTTTCTCTTAAAAAATTATTTCTTAACTGATAAGATCTAGAAGCCATAGCCAACACAATAGCAATGAGCATCGTTTATACCTAGATTTTTGTCTCTAGATACCATTTCTCATTAAAAAGAACAGAAAATGTGTAAGAAGAGTCTGGAACTTTGGCGTCACCAGAAAGGCAAGAAGGCTGTGAAAATCTCCTGGGATCATGTGATGAGAGCCAAGGAGCTGACTTTGGGAGGCTCCCACTAGGAAAGATGACGGAATAGTGTGTACATCAGTAGGGATGAAAACTGGAATGGATAGAAAACACATGCAATGTGTTTAACTCATGAGTTCATAACACTACTAAGAAAAATAACAGCTCAGACAGCATTCCTTGGTCCCTTAGCAAGACTCAAGGAGCAGCTTCATTCTCCTGAGAAGTGGGCCAGGGTTGGGAACTTAGCCTGACTCTGCTATGTGAACTGTACCAAATAGTCCAAGCCACTAAGCGGTTGATGAAGGAGGGTTTCTCTAAAAGTAAAGATAAAGATGTAAGGCAAACTAGAATATTATAAATTTTCAAGGCTCTGATGAAATCACAGCTTAATACAATAATTGCTACTGGGTTACCTATGAAAATATACAGGAAGTGTTCTTGCCAAAACACCAAATCTCAACAGAACAAGCCTCTAAACCTTGATTTAACTCCCAGATGACAGGAAGAGCAGGAACACAGGAAACAGATAAATGACACCATAAGGGAGTAATTGGCAGGATCCAGGAAAATTGGAAAAATCTGTGGAAAATTCTGCAGGACAAGAGCCAATTTGTATAACAAACACATTGTTGAATATAAGGCAGGTGAGATCTATTGATTAAAAGACGCTAGAGACACATTGACCAAATGTCATATATAGACCCTCTCTGCATCCTGATTCCAGCAAAAATTTATAAGACAACCAGAGATATGTGAAGGCTGCCTAGGTATTTGATTATATTAAGTAATTGCTGCTAATTGTTTAGAAGTGATAGTAGCATTATGTTGATAAAAGAGGCTTTACCGTTCAGAGAGACCTACACTAATACTTATCAATGAAAGCCAACGCCTGGGACCTCTTCAAAGTAATGCAGTGTACGGAGAAGTGGTTTGAGGTATAGTTGAAGAAATTTTTCTGAAGTTGGGCATTTGTAGTACTATCCTCTTTACATTTGTGTACATTTGAAATGTTCCATAATTTAAAAAATGGAAAATTCCCTGGGGCAGCGAAGACAGAGAGGGTCAGAGGGAGCTGACGAGGAGGTGGGAGCTCCTGGGAAGGAGAGAGACACAGGCAGGGAATAAGAGAATGTGGGTGGGGCCCTGCGGGAGCCAGGGTGAGATCTGAGACTGTCCCTCAGGCCACATGGCAGAGGAGGTGGCCCGTCCTGCAGACTCCAGTCTGTCTGGTCACCTCACTTAGGGTTATTTGATATAAAGTGGCTTCAGGGAGGCCAACAGCCCTACAAACATGGGCAAGTACACAAAACATCAGAAACAATTAAACATCCAACTTTACAGATTGGTTGCCTGGGGCTGCCCTTATAAATTAAAAACTTAAAAAAGGAGAAAATATTTATGATAGATTGTTGAGTAACCAAGTAAAAAATGGAGGTCATATATTAATGTAAAAACATGAATATTCATGCAAAAATGTATTTATATATTAAGATAGTCTCAAATACTGTATCACCAGGCATTAGAGAAAAAATGCCTAAACAACAAATAGTGAAGAAGAATATGTATGTGTGTTGATTTCTTCTTTAAAAAACAATGCATTTTTCATTGAGGTGACTTGCAGCAGAGTGAACACCTGGTCTTATTTTGGACGAGGGACTCTTTCCATTTCCCCACCCCACAAGGGTCCCTGAGGTTTTTCCTGCTGGACCCACATGAAGGTGAGTGGCTAATTTCACCTGTGATGTTAATGCCCCTAGAATGGATGTATGGGATGGTGGGGATAAAAATACCCCAGTGCAGGTGGAGTTTCTCTAGAAAGCCCAGAGCTATCTACTTTCTCCCAAAGGCTGGTCAGTGGACTTTCCCCAGGGGCCAGTGCTGTGGCCTGGTGACCTGTGTCTGGGGCAGGGAGATGCTTCTTGGAGCCTTGCAGGTCCCAAGTTTCCTTTATGGCATTGTCTTTGCTTCAAAGGGTCACCTCGGCCCCAGCAGGGAGGCAGAGGTGCTTGTGTCCACAGATGGGCGGCCCAGCTCATGCACCTTCCACTTTGTCAGAGCTGTGGGGCTTCCTGCTGGGGAAAGCAGTATGGCAATACCCCTGCCCTCACACACTAGAGGAAGTTCCTTTGCATTCTTCAGGCCGGAGCCTTTTAGAGCACAGAGTAGGAAACAGATACTCACAGTGGGATGGGCCTTGCATGCTGTGCAAGGTCAGGGCAGAGCCAGACTGTGTGCCCTCTGATGAGCAGGTTTGCAGGCCACAGTCTTCTCTCTGGGGTCGCTATCTGACATTCGGGTCTCAACTCCTCCAGACTAGCTCTGCTTCTTGAAGTTTCGAGAGGCTTCCAGAGGCCAGAATTCAGGGAGCTCTGAGGCTTCCATGTAAGTTTCTGGGCATCCACTCGTCGCTGTTCCTCGGTGTGGTGCTGTCGGGTCTGCAGAGGGCTTCCTGTCACTGTCTCTCTTGCACTGGTTCTTGGCACAGCCCCAGCAGCCTCATCACCCTCCACTTTCCAGCCTTGGGAGCATGGGCTTGGAGACTTATGGAGAGTCACATGGTGAGTCCAGTGAATAACAGCTGGTGCCAGAGCCCAGAGCTGGACGTGCAGCCCCTTGGCCAGGGGCTTTTCCCTCGGTTTCCCACTCCTGGCCTTCATGGAGGGTCCTGTACATGCCTTTCTTGCACACCCCTGGCTCTGAGCTCCAGACATGCCTAGTATAGCCCAGGGCCAGAGGAGGCCCAAAATGCCACAGGTGTGTTTTGTCCTAAAATAATTTGGATTGATAGCAGCATTTAAAAATCAAGAGATTTTTGTGTTGATTGCTCCATTTCTGGCTCATTTTAATGGGATATCAGGCACCACAGGGTGGCATTCTCATATAGGGGCAGGGGCTGAGCTGAGCAGGGCTGTCCTTCAGACAGAGCCTGTGCCTTCCTGCGAACCACCTGCTACCTTCACTCATTTACAGAACCTGCCAGGCCAGAAGACTTCTGTATTTGCGGCTCTATTCTTGGGCTTCGGCTGTGTTGGAGACAATCGCTGGATCACAACAAAGCTAACCTGCCTCCCGGTCTCACCTCAAGCCAACTGCAGTGCCAGATGCCCTGACAACTAGTCCCGTCTTCCTCCCAACACTGCTTGTGGCTGTCCCTGAACACGGGGAGCACTGGATACCACATCGACTTGAATTAAGTTCCAAGAGGACATAGAACAGGAAACCAGGAACTCTTCTGCTCACATTAATACTACATAAGGCTTATCTTCAGAAATGTTTACCTGCTGTTAGCAGATACGTCTTCATGAAATATGAAATCCACCCAAATTTATTAAGACTGCCTGTGTAGTAAGTAGTGGGAACTCAAACTGAGCAGCCCTCCGTTAGTCTCATTATTATTATCGCGTTATTTATTTATATCCTACCCTAAGACAGACATGATGTAATCCAGTAATTAAGATTGTTATGATTGAATATTTATTAAGCACCTACAATAAGCCAGCCACTGATCCACATAAAATGAGTCTTTATCCTCAAGAGCTCTCGTCTTGCTGCCAAGGGGAGCTCAGCGCCTCGTGGAGGGGAGCAGGGGGGTGTTTAATGGATTTGTCTTCTCTGAGAAAGCCTAAGAAATGAAGCTGATCAGAAATTGATCTGAGTTTAGTCTTGCTGTTCAATTTGAATGAAATGAAAATGATCTATCGCTGGCTTAGGAGAGGACTGGGTGTGCGGAGGGGCTCTCCCCAAAGTGCCCCAGCCAAAGATGGAGGCCTCCAAGACACAGGTGGGTGGCCGCTGGGTGAAGGTCTGAGCTTTAAATTTATCCTCAGGCTGAGATTGGGCTGCTCTTTTGTGCTTCTTACAAACTTAGCCGTGTTCTGGCATGTTGCAAGCTAACACTTGCTGGGTCCCTACTGTGTGCCAGGGGCTGGGGCTGCAGAGGAGAACCAGGCACAGCCCAGGGCCTCCTGAAACCAGCTCCCCACAGGATGCCCTGCAGGCTCCTTTCTCCCTTTGCAGGCCTCCGGTGCCCCCCACAGCCTGTGGCGGCTTCCTTGGCCTCTCCTCTTTCTGGTCTCTCTTTCTATCTTCTTGCTTATTCCTCTGCACTGGGCCACTTCTCCTTAAAGGGACCTGCTGGCTACAGCCTGTACTCTGCTCCCTCTGTCTCTCCTTGGCCTGGCAACACTTTTTTAATTCTACACTAGAGTGAAGAATAAACAAATGAATGAAGCACGGAGGAGTCAATGAATAGGCACAATCGTAAATGTGTACCCAGCATTGATACAAGAACTTCTGTGACCAACGTTCTTTGCTTACAATTGTTCCCTAGATTATTTCTGTGTTTGGGAAGAGAGTGGAATGTCCGCTAGGTTCTTGTGTGCCTTTGGAAGGAGATGTTTTGAAAACTGACACAGACATGCCATGCTTCCCTTAGCACAAGCCCTGACTCCAGCATTTGGTTCAGATAAAATCTACTTTTCTTTTTTTTTTTTTTTTTTGGAGACAGTATCTCACTCTGTTGCCCAGGCTGGGGTGCACTAGCATGATCATAGCTCACTGCAGCCTCAAACTCCTGGACTCAAGGGATCCTCCCACGTCAGCCTCCTGGATAGCTGGGATTACAGGTGCACATCATCATGCCTGGCTCATTTATTTTTATTATTTTTATTTTTTGTAGAGGGAGGGTGTCACTTTGTTGCCCAGGAGGGGCTCAGACTCCTGGCTTCAAGCGATCCTCTCGCTTGGACCTCCCTAAATGTTGGGATTACAGGCATGAGCCATCGCACCAGGCCTGATAAAAATCTACTTTATCCTGAAAGGTGCCTTAGTCATTTCCACAAAATATCAGTTTTGTAAAAATGTTATGATTTTCTTTTTAAATTGTGGTAAAATACATGTAACATTAAATCTACCATCTTAACCATTTTTATTTATTTTATTTTTATTTTTTGAGACAGAGTCTTGCTCTGTCACTCAGGCATGTCGCTCAGTGGCACGATCTCTGCTCACTGAAACCTCTGCCTCCCAGGTTCAAGTGATTCTTCTGCCTCAGCCTCCCGAGTAGCTGGGATTACAGGCGCCTGCCACCACGCCCAGCTAAGTTTTGTATTTTTAGCAGAGATGGGGTTTCATCATGTTGGCCAGACTGGTCTTGAACTCCTGACCTCACATGATCCACCACCTCGGCCTCCCAAAGTGCTGGGATTACAGGCGTGAGCCACTGCACCTGGCCCTTAACCATTTTTAAGTATACAGTTCTGTAGTGTTAGGTACATTCTCATTGCTGTGCAGAACTCTTCACCTTGCAAAACTGAAACTCTGTATCCGTGAACAACTCCCCATCCTCCTTCCCCCAGGCCCTGCAACCACATTCTACTTTCTGTCTCTGTGATTTTGATGACTCTATGTTCCTCACATCAGTGGAATTACACAATATTTGTCTCGTGGTTGGCCTCTTACTCTTTGCATAATGTGCTTAAGATTCACCCATGTTGTAGCATGTGTCAGAACTTCCTTCCTTTTACAGGCTGAGTAGTATTCTATTGTATGGGCGAACCACATTTTGTTTCTCCATTCATCTGTTGATGGACACTGCAGTTGCCTCCCCTTTTGGCTATTGTGAATAATGCTGCTACAAGCACCAGTGTACAAATGTCTGTTCAAGTCTCTGATTTCGTTTCTTTTGTGTAAATACCCAGAAGTGGGATTGCTGGATCAGATGGTAATTCTGTGTTTAATTGTTTTAGTAACCACCATACACAGTGACTGCACCATTTTTCATCCCCACCAGCAGTGCACAAGGCGTCCAATTTCTCCACATCTCACCAACCCTTGTTATTTTCTGTTCTTTTGATAATGGCCATCCTAGTGGGTGGGAGGTGGTATCTCATGGAGGTTTTGATTTGCATTTCCCTGATGATTAGTGATGTGGAGCATCTTTTAAAAAATAGTTTAAACAGGCATCTAAACACAACTTAAAAGAGAGTCCTCATGCTAGGACATGCTGTGTGGTCAGGAACTGTCTTGTCTCACTTTGTGTAGATAAGATGGGCACAGACGGCCAAGGGCGAGAGCCTGGGTGACCCACTGTGTAGCCTCTTCCCTTTTACTCAGTGCGGAGCTTCCCAGCTTCAGGGTGTGCTCTGTCACCCGTGGAACACCCAGCACTGTAGAGGCTGTGCTCACCCCTGGTGTTTCTGCCTGAATGGGGCTGGAATGGTGCTCAGCCATATAGGGAGAAGGTTCCAAACCCTCCCAGGGGAGTCTGAGATGCAGCCAGGCAGGGGTCCGTGTGAGATCCTTGGGGTCAAAGAGGAGACACAGGCCCCCGTGGAGAGGCGGGTGAATACCTTGCCTGTGGGCAGGTTTCTCCTGGTGCTGGCAATGAGGCCACTCTGGGCAGCCCACTTAGGATCCTGCTTCCTGATGCCATCAAAAACCCTCAACAGAGGCCCCAGTTCCAGGCCTTATGAGGTTTCTATTGCCAGGCTGCAGGGTGCCTCTTCCTCATGGAAATTGAGCTGTCACTGTTATCCATGTCCCCACTTGGGGGGGTGGGACATTTGCTTTCCTATACTATTTTTTCGATTGGAACTGGTTGTGAAGCTGCAGCATCTCCCAAATGCCTCTGAAGACAGGACTTGCCTGGAGGCTTGGTACAAAACAGATGACCAGGTCTCTCCCAGGAATGTCTAATTTGGTAAATCTGGGTTGGGCCCAACAGTCTGTTTTTTTTGTTTTTAAGCAAGCATCCAGCTTATCTGGAGTCAGGAAAGACTACCCTGAAGTGTGCAGAATGGCAGTGTGGTCTCGGCTTTCCTTGGGTGGTGACCCACTGCCCTGTGTCCCCATAACAAGTGCCTCTCACCACATGGTACTTCACTCTTCACCAGAAGTTCTCTAAGTTCTGCATTCTAAAAAGTTCTAAGAGGTTCTCTCAGTGTGGGCCCCAGGCTGACAGCATCAGCACCTTGCAGCTTGTTAGAAATGCAGATTCTTAGGCTCCACTGCATCAGAGACTCTAGGGGTGGGCCCAGAAAGCTATGTTTTTACCAGCAAGAGGGTTTTCTATAACCTTTGGTCTTCACAGTACAATTCCACACATTGCCTCCTGCCACCGTCACACTTCGTAGGTGGGGAGACTGGGTCCAGGGGGCGACGTGGTTTGTCCAGAGTCAGACAGCCAGTGGGAGACACAGCTGGAACCCAGGCTGAGGTCCAGACTCCAGATCAGATGCCCTGTGAGCCCCTTCCCCGGAGATCACGGGGGCCTGTAAAGACAAGGGCCTGGAGCCAAGGGGATCCAGAAGGGTCTGATCCCTGGTTCTGACTTCACTGCAAGGGACATGAGGAGCCAAGAAAGAAAGCAATGACATATATACCATACAGGTATGCCTTTCACATAAACTAGATTTATCCAATAAACATATAAACAACCTCCCACCTAGGACACCCCTCCCCCTCAAACAAAACCCCAATTAACTAGGGTGTAAGAGTCTCAATTACATCAAAGAGGAAGAACTCTTAAAGGATGGCCTCGCTAGGCAGGCCAGACATGGATGTGATGTCACCACCACCAAGGGCATCAGGGAGAATGACATCTGCCAGAAAATGAGACTGCCATTGACCGTCGTTTTAATGTAGAGCAAGATAAAGCCACTAAACCCAGGCCACACCCTTGGGGAACTATTTTAATAGCCATTGCTGTCGAAATGCCGGGCCTGCCCGGAGTGGAGAGGAAACCTCCAGCGCGGCTGGGCTTGAAAGAGAGCAAGACTTAACGCAGAGCTGTGACCTCAGGGAATGTTTTCCACCTCCTCTAAGGAATGCTGGCCACCCCTGCGCTCCCTCCCCACCCTCCCGGATGGCGGGATGGAGAGGCAATCAGAGAAGAGAGCTGGCATCTGGCATCAAATTCCAGTTTGGCCTCTTACTAGCTGTGTGGGTGTGGGCAAGTTATTTATCCACCCTGTACCTCAGTTGTCTTCTCTAGGAAGCAGGCATAATATGGCCCTGGCATTGTCGTGTTATATTAAGCATAGACAATGTGTAGGGAACTTTTAGCTCCATACTTTATCTGAGGTTGGCGGCTCAGTTAGGAGAGTGATTTGTTTGTACTCTTTGAAAGAGGCTTTTTTTGCACAGACCCTGCCTCTCTGGGTCCAGGCTGATGGGTTAGCAACAGACAGCAGTGCCAGGAGGCTTCTTTGTCTCCAGTGAGTCCACTGGACCCAAAGCCATCACTACTGCCTCTCAATGCGTCCCTCCCACAGAAAGGTGAACATGGCCTGGTCTTTGATCTCGTTTAAGTCACAGCACAAAGCTTGTTGTCTCCATTTTCCTGGTGTCATTTCCTCCTAATTCAGACCCAACCATCATCTTTTCCTTTTAAAATTCTGTTGGGTCATTCCATTCTTAAAAATTTTCCATGTGCCCTTACAATTCAGTCATTTGAGCAGTGGTGGTGATAAGGGAAATGCTTACAGGTGTGTGTGTGTGCATGTGTGAAAGTGTGAGTGTGCGAAAGTGTGTGTGTGCATGTGTGTCTGAGAGTGTGTGTGCGTGCACTTCTGTGACATGGGCAGTTTTGTGGGTTAGACTTTTCATGTCATCTTACCAAAAAGATACGAAGCTGATTTCTACTATTGGGGCTTAATTTTCTAAGGCCTTTACCCTGAATTCTCTGTAGATGTCATTATGTATGCCATAAAAAATAAATGTATCCTCTAAAATGTTCCATATTTTGGAAATGCTTCAACACTGAGAGTTGGTCGTACACACAAGGGTCTCGGATGGAGCCATAGGCAGCTTCATGGATGCCTCTAGGAGGGCATCGCGTCTCGTCACTCCATACCCAGGGAGACCAACGCCCTGAGAGGAAGGAGTCCCATCCAATGTATCCTGGAGGTGGAGGGCAAGCCAGGCGTTTTTTCTCTGCAGCACAATTGAGTGGGACTGGCCCTTAGAATGACCTACAAAGAGACCAAAGCAGGTGGATATAGGCCACTCTTCCTCCGGGGCTGTCTAATGCACGCGAACTCCATCACTGCCCAGAAAAACCCACTCCCCAGTTTAAAGCTCCTAAGAGTGCTGAACATAGCCTGCGGACCCAGCTACTCATCCAGACAGTGTTCCTGCGCTCCCTGGATTCTGGGTACCGGGGACCCTGAGATGCACAGGCACTGGCGGCCCCCACCAGGCTCAGCACGCTGCCCCCTGTTGGCCGCTGGCCGACCCTGCAGGTTGTGTTGTATTACCAGGGACCCTGCAGGCCTGGGCACTGGGGCAAGGCAGTCTTCTCCGGCTGTGGCTGCAGGTGGGAAGGGCTCGGCATCCAAGGGAGAGATTGCCTAAAGTTCAGGGAGCCGAAGAGGGAGCCAGGAGGTTTCCCTAGGAGGTGGGCTGGAATTTGGCGGGTTCAGGAGGTTTGGGGTGTTGGAAAAGCATTGTCATGACCTGCCCTCGCTGGGGGAATATGCTTGGGTCACACACTTCAAATGGTGAGGAATTCCTACAGCTGGTGAAATAAAAATGTGTACTGCAAGTTAAAAGGGCCAGGAACCTGTCTGTGTCTTTCTCTGAGTTGAAGGAGTCCTCTTCTTGCATTTCCTTTCTCCCTTCTTTCCTGAAAAAATGTATTTTTCTCATCATAGGCAATTTTGGGGGAAAAAAGGGAAAGTGGGGAAAAAAAACTGCACCCAGGAATGTTGCTAATGGGGAAGGCTATGAACGTGTGTGGGGCAGGGGTATAGATGGGGACATCTCTGAACCCTCTGCTCAACTTTGCTGTCAATCTAAAACTACTCTAAAAATAAAGTTTATTGATAAAAAAACAAGCAAAAACTTCCCCCATAGTCCTGTATGCCAATTAAATGCAATTCATTTATAGTTTTTACTTCCTTTTTTCCTATAGTTATGATCTGGATAATTTCATAACCTTTTTTTCATGAAACTTTATATCAAAAGCATGATCATGTTACTATGAATTCTTCTGAAACACATTTTTTTTTTCTTTTTGAGATGGAGTCTCGCTCTGTCACCCAGGCTGTAGTGCAGTGGTGTGATATTGGCTCACTGCAACCTCTTTCTCCCTGGTTCAAATGATTCTCCTGCCTCAGCCTCCCAAGTAGCTGGGACTAGAAGGGCACACCAACACACCTGGCTAATTTTTGTATTTTTAGTAGAGATGGGGTTTCACCATATTGGTCAGGCTGGTCTTGAACTCCTGACCTCGTGATCCACCTGTCTCAACCTCCCAAAGTGCTGGGATTACAGGCGTGAGCCACAGCACCTGGCCAACACTATTTTTTAATGGCTTAATATTCATGCGATGGGATTTTGATGTTATGTGGTTCTTTACAAAATGTCACGATGAAGATGTTTATAGGTAAAACTTATTTAGACTTATTACCTTCAGATATGTTTGCATATATGTAATTACTGGGTCAGAGAGACACACATTATTAAGCTCTCTATGCATACATGTTGCAAAATCACTTTCCACTACCACCACCAGCAATGAGTAAGCCTTCCTGTTTGAGCCCATCTTTGGCAGCATTAGGTATTTTCATTTTACCAGTTCTTGCTAGTACGGAGCCTCAGCTCCACAGAGACACCCCTGGTGATGTCACAGGCCAGATGTAGAGTGCTGAGTAGGATGCCTGGTGAGCACATGGCATGTGGATTGGGGGAAGTGGTCTTTTAGTCACCACCAAGGCACGGCACCCTTCTTGGGTTCCTGGTTACTGATAGGGAGACCAAATGGAACAAGCCTGGGTGGACACAGACCCTGAGCTTCTCTTAGAAGGCAGCACAGGGTGCCCTGTGGCAGCGATGTGTAAGGTGGAGTGCCGCTAAGGGCATAGTCCTAGGTTTGAATCCCTTCTCTGCTATGCTCCTGGCCATATGATTGTGGGCAGGAGGTCATCTCCTGAGTGTCTGTTTTTTTAATTTACTGTGAGGCTAAAAAGCTCCCAAGCAGAGCTATTTCGGGAAATGAAAAGGTGACATTCCCACAGGAGCACTGCATGTCAGGCTAGCTCTTTTCTTTGCTTTGTTTCCAAGTCCCCCAGCAACCAGGTCACAGCCTACACCTAGATGCTTGACCTAAAAAGCACTGGGTGGCCTGGCCTTGCCTGCATGTGCCATGTTCTGAGGTCTCTATGTGCTGGGAGCTCTGCAGCAAGCAGGAGTTTTCATCGTGGGGGGTGAGGGACAGCTGTGTCTTCCTTTCCAGCTCTGACAGGGCCTCGAATCTGGGAAAGTGTCAGGTGGTGAGCTTTCCATCATTCTTCCTCCTCATCTTTGGGATAAGATCCTGAGATGCAGGCTGGTAATTGCTCAGGAAAATAAAGCCTCCTTTTTAATCAGGTGCTAAAAGTGCTTTCAGCAGCCTTGTGCAGGGCTGCTGACAGAAGTAGTCTCGGGCCAATTTTGTAACACTTCAAACAGCAGAGGTAAGATTGCTTCTGGAAAATTAGTGCTCCCTGCCTTGATTTGCTTGAACCACTTAGCACAAGTCAACCCCAGAGATGGGAAACACTGATGCGTCTGTAACTCAAATATTGCTGCAGTCCTGGCTGAGAACTTAGGCAAACCACCTTCTTGGAGTGTTGCTTTCAGTTTCTTCATCTGTAGAATGGGGATAAATGGACAAAAACTACAACTCTTCAATTAGGAGGATGGAGGGAAGAGGAGAAAAAGTCATGGCGTTTATCATGCTGCATGCTTCTCCTGTTCTATTTCATTTGATTTTTCCAAAAATCCTAAGGCAAGAGGCATCATTGTCTAGGATTTAAGTCCGTCCTGCTGAACAGCCCAAGTTCCCTTCCCAGAAAAGAACTCTGTAAATGCCAATGCACACAAACTCCCTGCTAATGCCGTAATTACTCAGGGATGCTAAAGGAAAACTGGCTTTGCCACCCACAGCCGATGTGTTTCTTAATCCCCTTGTGCTCAAATTCCTCCTGCTGCAAGCAAAGCTGATTGATTTTAGCTTCTGCCTCCTAACAAGGTTGCTGTGCTGCCTGTTTCTCTCAGGTGAAAAGCACTAAGCAGATTACAAAACCTCCCTAACATTGGAAGCAAAAATGTGTTCAGAAAATGGAAACTTGCCCGGAGTAGCCAACTGAGGCTGCACAACTGGGGCGGCATGGGAGTGAGGGCGGCGACTCTCTGCCACCTCCCTCCTGCTCCCCAGTGCTATGGTTCTGCTGCTCATAGATAGCATCTTAGGTCAAGCAAATGGCTAAATATAGCCAGTCTCCCAGCTAGGCTGTCATCGGGGCTGTCAGCAGCACTGTCCCAGGTTTTCAGACTTAGTTTCAGGCTTCAGCTTGACAGCCAAGCTCAGTTACGGGGTGGGGCTTTTGTTTTCAAGATGAATCCCACCTCCCCTCCACTCCAATTTTAGGCCAAGGGACAGACCCCACAGAGTGCCTGGAAGGCAGATGGGGAGTGGAGTGGGGATGGAGAGAGTGTTGGTCCCCGATATCCACATGTGGCTGAGTCTTGAAGATCAAAGTCTCTGACTCCTATGCCCCATGGGCCTCAGGGAAACACTACTGCCCACTGGGAGCTGTTGGGCCCATCAGCAGAGCCAGCATTGTCATTGTCTTACCACCAGCAGCTTGGGATCTTGGGCAGCCGCTGAAACTCTTTGGGCCACCAGTGGCCTCATCTGCAGGAAGGAGTAGCGGTAGCTTCACACTGGCTGTTATGGTGCATAAGGGGAAGTGAGGCCAAGTCCATGTGGGTGAACTGGAGGGCCTCACACTGGTGGAATTCGTGTATACTGAGTCTGTCACACATGTGCTTTATGATCAGCCCCGCCACACAGAGATCCATTTCAGTGCAGCCAAAATGTTCTGAGATCTCTATGTGCTCAGAGCTCAAAACTCAGAAAAATGGTGAGCTCGGGGTGCACAGTCAATGTAAATGGGACTGAAAGCACGTTTGATAGTATCACAGTCTCCCCCTCTCCCCATCTGCCTCCTCTCCAAAGCGATGATCAGCTGTGGTGTTCCCTGGTCTATTGGTTGAGAATTCTCAAGGAAGAAACCAGTTGAGGCAGAGATGCACAGCTGGGTCTGGGCAAGGCTGAGGGGGTGGGGCTTAGTGGGAGCATTCCCTGATAGAGAGGTTGAGAGATCCAGGGCTACTGTACTTTACTGCTCCATCTAAAACTCCAGGAGTGTTCTTCCGGGCCAATGGCACATCCTGGATTTGTGCAGCCCACAGTCTGTGCAGCTGATGCAGTGGACCCTCTTGGGCCAACTTGTCCCTTGCAGATACAGCCTGGGTGTATGCAAACTTCTTCTTCACTCTTCTGGGCCCACTGGCTCCCGGGTTAGGGGAAGGGACTGAAAGGAGATGAGTTGAAGTGATTTATTTTTATTAGCATTCATTCCCTCTATCCAGTGGTGCAGTGCAGTAGTTTGTTCACATGGATTTGAATCATCCATTTATTCTAGAAGAATTTGTTTTGTAACCACCATGAACCAGATAATAGGGGATACAGGAGTGCACAAGACAGACAGAGTCCCTGCTTTCTTGCATTTACATCTGGGGGCTGGAGCAGGGGACTCCAGAGGAGAGCAGAGAGCAGAGAGGGCCAGGCCACATGAAGCCTCAAAGGTGAGAGCATGGGGTGTGCATTTCATTCGGTTACAGGATGCCAATGGTGGCTCCAATCAGGGGCCAATACGATCTACTACTACACTTTAAAAAGACTTCCCTGAATGGAAAGCAGGCTGTTGTAGGATGAGACTGAGCAGGACCACTGCCGGGGTCTGGTGGGAGGAAAGGTGGCCCCGAGGCTCATGGAGGGCAGAGAAGGGGTCATTTGGGACATAATTTTTTCTTTTATTTATTTATTTTTTATTTATTTTTATTATACTTTAAGTTCTAGGGTACATGTACACAACGTGCAGGCTTGTTACATATTTTCCAGTTCTTCTCAATGAGTATGTATTACTGGCCGAAGGCTTGCCTGTGAGAAATGAGGAAGATGAGCTTGAGTGAGACTCCTAGTGCTGAACCCTTACTTTCTCTGTGAATGTGGGGGTGTCACTTATGGTCTGGTGAAATTTTGGGAAGCTGGCACATTCTCCAGCTAGCACATGGTGACTGGGCCCATGTGCCAGGTACAGCCCTGAGTGATTGTCACATATTGACCCTTTTTAATCATCACGGTAATCCTAAGAGTGAGGTACTATTATTGTCTAATAATTTGCTTAAGGTCGCCTGGCCAGTAGCCTGGGCATCCTGGCTCCTTTGGAAAATCAGTCTCACCAGTAGCCATTGTCCTTGCCTCAGGTCACCAGCTTAAGGGTCTTGGCTCACTCCCATTGCTGCGGGATCAGGTCCATAATTGAGAATTTGATACGTGCTTTCCCCCCTCAAACATAGGTTTGTAATTCCCCTGTGAGTTGCTAGAAGCTAAATTAACTACCCCAAATCCTGTCCCTTAAACAGGAGGTAAGCTTTGCCCTGGAGAAGGCATGAGGTGGCTGGACTGCTTTGCACGGGCCCCTCTGCTGAGGAGAGGGTCTCGCCCTGGAGATTCTAGTGGTATCTTTGAGCCCATTTGGAAGTTTCTGCAGGACAGGAGGGCTGCCACTCACAGTGTTCCCATCCAGATGTCTCCATGCAGTGGCTCTTTCAACTGCTAAGGAGCAGGGAGGGCTTGTGGGATCAGCTGACCATTGGCTGTGGTGGCTACTCTGATCAGCATCACCTGAGGGCAGAAGAGGAGAGAGTACGCAGGGAGATGAACATGAGTCGAGAATCTACCAAGCCCTTGTCCTTTACCGTACACTGAAACTTTGTCCCTGTATGTTTTTGCATGGACCATCGGGCCAGCTCTCTGTTCACAAAGGCCTATTCTTCAAAAAACAGTGGGAGTGTCAGCTCAGAGCCTTGGGATGGGCAGTTCCACACATATGTGTGTATTTGCAGTCATCCCGTGGGCTGTCAAACAGTCTGAAGAAGGAGGGTAGCATTTGAGGCAGTGTTGGAAGAGAATGAGAATGAGCTGGCTAGTGCAACCTGGTATGCAGGTAAGGGAGGAAAAGGGTGAGAGCCAGGCACTGCACGCTTGTGAGTTAGGAACCATAGTCTTTGCCTTACAGAAGAAGAAATGGAGGCTCCAGCTCACCCCAGCACTCAGTGGCAGGGTGAGCCATGCACCCAGAGCTCCCAGGACGGTGCCTCCTGCCATGTGCCCCTCTTGGCTCCCACACAGCCTTCCATTGCGTTAATTGAGTGCTTCAACAGCCTTTGAAGGCCGGGTTTTGTGCTTGAATATATTGCCAAATTAATAACTTCAGAACATTTCAGGCCATGTCGAAATAGTAAATTAGGACAGGACGGGCTATATATTCAGCGCAGAGAGCTGAAGTACCATTTTATTACATGTGCCATGGAATTAAAGGCTTAATTTTCTTTTAAAAGACGGTGATGCATCATTTCCCACAGCCAGGTAAAAACAGTTAGCAGAAATGATTTATCCTTCATTCCATTTAAACATCAGAAACCAGAATCCCTGGATCTTGCTCTCCATTATTTATCTCTGCCTGGAGGGCACTTGAGACTTTTACCTGCTGTCTAACTTGATGGACACAGCCAAGCCGTGGGCATGGTCGGGAAAGAGGGAGGCCGATAGCGGCAGCCAGTGCCTGGCTCGGGCAGCAGCCCTTGTCTTTGGGATGAGGGATGTGGCTTCCCTCACATGGGCTCTAGGAGCTGACAGGCTGCATTTGACCCTCAGGCTGGGCCACAGGCTATCTCTGTGTTCGGACAAGTTCCTCACAGAACCTGGCCTTCTCACCTACAGAATGGAATAATGGCAGCATAGAATAATGGAATAATGGCCTCCTTTTGGGGCTGTTATAAGGCTGTCATGAGATTGCAGGTGGAAAGAAAGTGGGCTTGCAGTGACTCTTGCACAATTATGTGTTATTTGCGGGAAGAAATCATTTTAGAACAGCTCCTTTTTACTTTTTCAAAATAAAAGTAACATATATTCATTGAGAAGCATTTGGGAAAAAAATAACAGCAAAGAAAGTAAAGAACATGGTATCATATTGCCCAGCAGTGGTCAGTGTTATTTTTTTCTTTTTTCAGAATACTTTTTTTTTTTTGAAACAGAGTCTCACTCTGCTGCCGAGGCTGGAGTGCAATGGCATGATCTCAGCTCACTGTAACCTCCACCTTCCAGGTTCAAGCAATTCTCCTGCCTCAGCCTCCCAAGCAGCTGGGTTACAGGTTGCTGCCACCACGCCCAGCTAATTTTTTGTATTTTTAGTAGAGATGGGGTTTCGCCATGTTGGGCAGGCTGGTCTCGAACTCCTGACCTCAGGTGATACACCCACCTCAGCCTGCCAAAGTGTCAGCATATTTTTAAAAAACAAAATTAGGTTCAGAGACATTTGCAATTTTACATTTTGACAGAACTTCATTCTATCATGATTCTGGAGGCCAGAAGTCCGAAGTCGAGGTGGAAGCAGGCGCCCTCTGAAGGCACTAGGGGCACATCCTTCCTGGCCTCTTCCAGCTTCTGGTGGCCCCATTTGTTCCTCAGTTTGTGGCTCACGTTTCCCCACATGATACCAGAACGTGAACATTTGCCTGGTCACTACTGTCTACAAACTTCTTTCTTGTATGGCTGCATGCTATTTCTTCATGTCAATGTGCAGATAATCTATACCTATCTCTGATGATTGGATCTTTAGATTTTTTCTTTTATGAACACTTAAAAAATCCTCCCACAAAAGTAAGAGGTACGTATTACTAGCCCATTTTGCAGGTTGTTGTATTAGTTTCCTGTGGCTTCTTTAACAAATTAACACAAATTAGGTGGCTCAGAACAACAGAAGTTTATTCCTCATGGTTCTGGAGGCCAGAAGTCTGAACTCAAGGTTTTGGCAGGACCGTGCTCCCTCTGAAGGCTCCAGGGGAGGATCCTTTCCTGCCTCTTCCAGCTTCTGGTGGCTTCCGCGGCTGTTGCCGCATTGCCCCAATCTCCGTCCCCATCTTCACCTGGCTTCGGCTGTCCAGGCATCTCTCTCCTTTTTGCGTGTCTCTTCTTATAAGGGCACGTTGCCACTAAATTTAGGGCCCTCCTGGATAATTATGATATCCTCATTTTAAGATTCTTAGTGTAATTACATCTGCATTACATTAGAGCTTTGGTCACATTTATTGTCTCATTTAACCTCCCTAGCAGCTCAACGAAGTAGGCCTGTTATCCCCATTTCACAGGTGAGAAACAAGACTGAGTGAGGTTGAGTGACTTGCTCAATGTCACACAGCTAAGGAGGGCATGGAGCTGGGATTCGAGGCTTACTAAAGCTGTCCCTTCTAGGCCTGAGCAGGCAAAAGGCTGCAACCATGCTTCTTCCTGCTAAAGCTCCTCAGTCAGAGATGGACTTCTTCAGGTAGAGGTGCTTGAAGGCCATAAGACTCAGAGGCGTGCACATGGTATGGTCACTGATGTGAAGGAATCCAGGGTTCCTCACCAGTAGCTGGGCCAGAGGCTGCTCCTGCCCTGGAGAAAGGCTTCTGCCAGCTCCCAGGCCCCTGGTGCAGAGGGCAGGCACCTCCCAGCACAGAGCTGTGGGAGGGGCTGAGTAAACCAGACAGTGTGCTGGGATTTCCTCTTGCCCAGCTGTGCCCAGCACTGGATGGGCTGAGGGTGGACCCTGGTCCAACTCAGCCACTCATCAGTAGGGTCTCTGTCCCCCTGCATCCCTGGCACTGTGCACAGCTTCCTGCCTGCCCTCTGTGTGATGGCCCGAGGCTGAGACGCCGCCCACTAAGTCCCTCCAACCTGGCCTTGCCAAGAGAGCAGGAAACTCAGACGTGCACAGAGGCCCACTCACCGTGACAGCATCCCCCCGAGATGGCAGGCTCAACTGCCCACGGATGGGCTGCGGTTGTGTGCAGGGTGCCCACCCTGGGCACTCACACTTCCTTTCTCGGAGCCGCAATGAGGCAGCAGGAAAGAATCTGCTCCCACCCACTGGGGCCTGCCCTTCGCCTGAGACACCAGATATGACTTGGAAGCCAGCTGGGCATTCCTATGTTAGGCCTTTCAGAAAGAGACCACAGCCTCGCTGCTCAGAGAGGCCACAAGTGCCCTGGCGTGGCCCCCGCCTTCCTCTCAGGGCTTTGCTCTTCTCTGTAATGCTCCTGTCCCCCTGGGACTGGGCCTCTGACCTTGGTGAAGCCCTCGGCCGACCCCACACCCGCCCTCTGGCTCTGTTCATTTATAAATAGGCCCATTTCTCATCTTGCTCCAGCCCAGAGCTCCACACCCAAGCAGCAGATGCAACCTCGGGATTCCCTTTCCAGCCAAGGGCAGAACAGGACCCGACCAGCTCTTGGGCCTGAGGGATGAGATCACAAATTCTCCTGCAAATAGCAACTCACACTCCAGTCAGAAACCCAAGTCAGCTTGTGTGTGAGTTACTTCCTTGTGGCTGCTGTCACCAGTTACCCACACGCTGCACAGCTGAAAACAACAGAACTTCATTCTATCATGGTTCTGGAGGCCAGAAGTCCAAAGTCGAGGTGGAAGCAGGCACCCTCTGAAGGCACTAGAGGCCCATCCTTCCTGGCCTCTTCCAGCTTCTGGTGGCCCCATTTGTTCCTCAGTTTGTGGCTGTATCACTCCAATCTTTGCCTCTGTAGTCGCATTGACTCCGCCTCTTCTATCTGTCTCAAATACCCTCTTTCTCTTAGACAAGGACACCCATCATTGCATGTAGAGCTCACTGGGATGACCTCCTCATCTCAAGATCCTTAATCACACCTGCAAGGACTCTTTTTCCCAGTAAAGTCACCTTCACAGATTTTTTGGGATCTGGACCTGAACATATCTTTTTGGGGGCCACCATTCAGGTCACTGAAGCTTGTTGTCAGGAATAAAGTTTACTGAGATGGCCATGGATAGATGGGTTAAACCAGGATGCTCGAGGAAAGAGATATGCCACAGAGGAAAGCAGACATTCGGGGTGCCTGCTGCTGCACCGTCCAGGGCACCCTGGGCAAGGTAAATCATGCTGAAGTCGACTCTTTAATGATGAACTAACACCCACTAATCTGAGGGCTTGGGAGCAGGCTTGGTGTCACCTTGGGCCCAGCAGCATGAGTTTGTGGGTCAGCTGCCCAGCTATCGGCTGGATTAGTGAATCGTCAATAGATCCGGTTGAGCTGAGACAGCTGGAGCAAGCAGACCACACATAGATTCGTGGCAACGTGGCATGATTTGTAGCTTGGCTCTTGGCCACCACGCCACTCACAAAGCCTGGTCAGCTGTCACCGTGTCAGGCTCTTTGCTGAGTGACGATGACCTGAGTGTAGCCTCCTGGGGCATGGTGCCCTGGAGTCACACGGACCTCCCCACCCCATCCTCCACATCGTGCACTGCCCATGGGAGCTTCCAGAAGCTCAGGCAGTTTTCTCCTCCGTAAAATGAGAAGGAAAAAACCCACTTGTAGCACTGTTGCCATTGCAAAGCTAGATGTTATGTCGGGGCCTGCCCCAGGGCCTGGCACACTGTAGGCCCTCAGGAAATGGTTGCTTTGATTTTGGGGGTTGAGGGGCACCATCACACACTCATTCACACAAGCTGGGACATTTCCACTGCCTCCCTTCCTCTCCCCTCTCCCCAGGTGCCACCTACCTCTGGCCTGCTCCCACAGCCTCACCCAGGTCCCTGCAACTGCAACCTGACCACTGTCCCTGCCCCAGTCTCCCTGCTGTTAGCCTGTGTCACGCAGCAGCCCTGCCATTGATGCTCTGGTTTTGTCACATTCCCTGCCCAAGTGTGTTAATGATTTCTCACCCCTGCTGGATAGGAGCCCCTCAGAATCAGCCCTGCTCACGTGGCATCTCATATCACTGTCACTGATCCTCTTTCAGGTCTTACATCCCAGCCCCAGGGGCCCTGCTCAAGGCTGCTGCCTTCCTTCCCACCTCCTCTTTCTCTCCCCCTCTCCTCTCTCCCTTCCCTCTTCTCCCTTCTGGTACCCAGCAGACAGCCATGCCCCTTCCCTGTGCTGCTGTGCACCTTGTGCTTACTGCTCTGCTGAGCCTTTCCAGGGGCCAGGCACTGCACAAGGTTCTGGGATTTTGCAGTGAACACAGCATTCCAGCCAGCTTTCCGACCAGACATTGAAGGTCACAGGCCAGGGCACAGGCTCTGGAGCCAGAGTGTCTGGACTGAACTACCTGTGTGACTTTGGGCCAATCATTCCACCCCTCTGGGCTTCATTTTCCTCAGCTGTGAAGTTCTTGCTTCTTTGAATTGCTAAGAATTATCTATGCAGAGCACTGAGGATGGTGCTATGGGTGTTCATCTGTGTGAGTGTGAGCTTTCTCCATCATGCAGCTCACAGCCCAGGGGGAAGTCATACAAACAATTCTGACACTCTTTAATGAGGGAAGTGTAGGGCACAATGAGAGGAAAAGGAGGGGTACCTCGTTAGCCAAGGGCAATGGATGTGGCATCCACCTCCCTGGAGAGGCCATGAGCTGCTCAGGGGCAAGGACCGTGTCATAGTCATTGATATCTTCCAGGGCCTGGCATCATGTGGGCTCCCAGAATGCAGCAAAGGTCTGCTGAATGAAGGAATGGATGGAAAGGTGGATGGATATGTGAATGGATGGATGGATGAATAGATGAATGAAATAAAGAATAGGTAGATGGACAGATGAGTGGATGGATGAACAGATGGATGAATGAGTGCATGAGGGGATGGAGGGACAGATGAATGAATGAATGGATAGACAGGCAGTGCATTTGGGAAGCGTTCCAGGGATGCCAAGTCTAGGACTGAGGGAGTGGGCAGAGAAAAACTCAGAGGCATTTCCAGGATTCATGACAGGCGTTGCTCGCAACTAAGGGAGAGGACTGGTACTCCACTGGCTGGAATCTTCTGAAGAGCCTTTTGAAATGTCTTTCAGAACTGTCTTCCTGGGGCTTAGGTGGGAGTCTTTCATCTTTTGGTTCCTCTCCTCCCACAGGCCAAGGGTGGCCCTGGGTATTAACATCTCTGCACTTTGGGACTGCACCTGTGTGAATGCTCAGTGGATCCCCACAGAAGTGCCCACATGCCCTGGAATCAGGAAGGGTCTGAGGCAGAAAGTGAGAGAGGCCTGAAGTGTGGGGTCCAGGAGATGAAGGTGCTGTTCCCAAAGCAGGTTGAAGCCTGCTAGTTTGTCACAGGCTGAGGCAGCAGTGACTAAACCAAGAGATCTGGACATACAGATAGGCAGTGGGGTACAGAAAGTGTCGAACAGCATGAAATGAGGGGTGTCCCTGAAAATAAATGCCATGAATGTCATGCTCACGCATTCCTTATAAACAGGGTTCTCCATTGGTCATCCATTGTCACTTTCCTTTGGAACTGGTCAGTTTCCAATTTAGCCAACCACTTCCCAAGCCTTGGACTTGGGCTGTCATAGGCACAGGATCTTGTGTGAAGGTAAATTTCCATTCCTTCGGGCTAAATGGCCAAGAGTGCAATGACAGATCATATGATAATTGCATATTTACTTGGTTAAGAAACTGCCAAACTGTTTTCCAGAATGGCTGTACTATTTTATATTTCTGTCAGCAATATATGAGTGATCCATTCCTCCGCATCACTTTTTAAAGACTGTAAAAGGCCAATCTGACAGGTATGTAGTGATAGCTCTTGGTAGTTTTAATTTGCACTTCCTAGTGATTGCTGATGTTGAACATCTTTTTTTTTGTGTTTATTTTTTTATCTGTGCATCCTCTTTGGTAAAATATCTGATCATGTCTTTTGTCCATTTTTAAATTTGATTATTTGCTTTTTTCCCCTTGAGTTTCGAAGCTCTTTGTATTTAGATGTAAGTCCTTTGTGAGATATGTGATTTGCAGATATCTTCTCCACATCTTTTCATCCTCCCAACAGGGTCTTTTGTAGAGTAAGTTTTAAATTTTGACATGGCTCGTTGTATCATTTTTCTTTTTATAGCTGGTGCTTTTGGCGTCAAATCTAAGAATTCTTTGTCCAGCTCTAGATCCCAATGATTTACTCCTATCTTTCTCTAAGAGGTGTATGGTTTTGTGTTTAACATTGAAGTCTGCAATCCATTGTTTTGTGTTAATCTTTGTACAAGATGTGAGACTTAGGTAGACGTTTATTTGGATGTCTCATTGCTCCAGCACTGTTTGTCGTAAAGGCTCTGTTTCTTCCATTGAGTGGCTTTTGTACCTTTGTTAAAAATCAGCTGGACTTGTTATGGGCTAAATTTTGTCCCCTCTGAAATTCATGTATTGAAATCCTAACCTCTAGTATCTCAGAATGTGACCGTATTTGGTGGCAGGGTCTTTAAAGTGGCAATTAAGGTTAAATGAGGTCATTAGAGTGGGCCCTAATCCCATAAGACTGGTGTCCTCATACGAAGAGTTGAGGACACAGACACAAGGAGAAGACAGCCACCTATAGGCCAAGAAGAGTTCACCAAAGAAACCAACTCTGTGGACACCTTGATCTTGGATATCCAGATTCCAGAACTGTGAGAAAACAAATTTCTGTTGTTTAAGCCATCTTGTTGTGGTGTTTTGTTATGGCACTTCTAGAAAATGGATACAAGCATTTTGTGTGGGTCCACTTCTGTGTTCTCTATTCTGTTCCATTGTTTTATGTATTTATCCCCCACCAAGACCACAATGGCTGAATTTTGTAGCTCTAGAGTAAGACTTAATATTGAGTAGAGTGATTATCCCTCCTTCATTCTGTTTTTTTCTTGATTGTCTAAGTTATTTGAGGTTTGTATACATAAATTTTAGAATACTTTGTCTATGTCTACAAAACACTTGCTGGAATTTTGATAGTAATTGCATTAACTCTATAGATTAATTTGGGAAGAATTGGCACCTTTACTATGGCGAGTCTTCCAGTCCATAAACATGATGTGACTCCCTTATTTAGATCTTTTTTTTTATTTCTTTCCTCAACATTTTATGATGATCAGCATACAGATCTTATACACATTGTCAGTTTTATGCCCAAGTGTTTCATTTTCTGTGGAGCAATTGTTAATGACATGTTTTTAATCTTAGTTTCAGAATATTTATTTATGTATGTAGCAATGCAATTTATTTTTGTGCGTTGGTCTTGTATTTTGCCACCTTCATGAACTCACTAGTTTTAGATTTTTTTTTTGTAGTTTCCTTGGGATTTTCTATGTAGTCAATTATGCATCTGCAAATAGGGACAGTTTTATTTCTTCATTTCCAATCTGTATGCCTTTTATTTATTTTTCTTACCTTATTGCAGTGGCTAGAACTTCTGATACTATGTTGAATAGGTGTGATGAGATCGGACACATTTACCTTGTTCTTGATTTAGTCGGGGAGGATTCAATTTTTTTCACTATTCAGTATAGTGTTAGCTGTACATTTTCTTTTTTTGTAAATGCTCTTTATCATCTTGAGGTGATTACCTTCTATTCCTGAATTGCTGGGAGTTTTTTTTTTTTTTTGAGATGGAGTCTCGCTCTGGCACCTAGGCTGGGGTGCAGTGGCATGGTCTCAGCTCACTGCAACCCACGCCTCCCGGGTTCACACCATTCTCCTGCCTCAGCCTCCCGACTAGCTGGGACTACAGGTGCCTGCCACCATGCCTGGCTAATTTTTTTTTTGTATTTTTAGTAGAGACGGGGTTTCACTGTGTTAGCCAGGATAGTCTCGATCTCCTGACCTCGAGATCCACCAGCCTCAGCCTCCCAAAGTGCTGGGATTACAGGTGTGAGCCACCGTGTGGGAAAAGGGTGTTGTATTTTGTCAAATATTTTTCCTGTGTCAATTGATATGATCATGTGATTTTTCTTCTTTAGCCTTTTGATATGGTGGATTACATTGATTCATTTTCAAATTCTGAATAAGTCTTACACAGCTAAAATAAACCCCATTTGGTCATGGTATATAATTATTCTTATACATCATTGAATTAAAATTGCTATTATTTTGTTGAAGGTTTTTGCATCTAATTTCATAAGGCTATTGGTCTATAGTTTTCTTGTGATATCTTTTTCTGGTTTTGGTATCAAGGTAATACTGGTTTCATAAAATGAATTAAGGAGTATTCCCTCTTCCATTGTCTTGTCAAAATTGTATAAAATTGATATAATTCCGTTTGGTATAATTATCAAGTGAAGACATTGGGCTTGGAGATTTATTTCTTGGGAACTTTAAAATTACAAACTCAATTTCTTTAATGGTTACAGGACTATTCAGGTTATTTATTTCATCTGGTTGAATTTTATAGTTGTGGTTTTTGAGAACTTGGTCAAATTTCTTCTAAGTTGTTGAATCCATGAGTGTTAAGTTGCTTGTAGCATTTAAAACATTTCTTTTCAATGGCTGCAGGATCTGTAGTGAAATCTCTCCTTTTCTACCTGATATTGGTAATTTGTGTCTTCTCTCTTCTTATCTTTATCAGTCCTGCTAGAGGTTTATCAATTTTAGTAATTTTTTTAGGCAGTAGGTTTTTGTTTTTATTGATTTTCTCTATTGTTTTCCTGTTCAATTTTATTGATTTCTGCTCTTGTTTGTATTATTTCATTCCTTTCACCTTTTTAGGCTTATTTTGTTTTTCTTTATTGGCTTCTGCAGGTAGGAACTCAGATTATTGATTTGAAACTTTTTCTTTTTTTCTACGTTAAGCATTTAGTGCTACAAATTCTCCTGAATGATAGTTTCACTGGATATAGAATTTGAGGTTGACAGTCCTTTTCAGTTAGCACATGGAAAATGTTCCATTTCCTCCTAGACTCCATAGTTTCAGATAAGACATCTACCATAATTAATTAAAGTTTCATTTTCACTTCTCTCTGGATACTTTTAAGGTTTTGTTCTTTGTCTTTAATTTTCAGAAGTTTAATTGTCATGTGTCTTGATGTGACTTTCTTTTGATTTGTCCTATTTGAAGTTTGCTTAGCTTCTTCAATCTGTAAGTTTATATTTCTCACCATATTTGGGAAGATTTCAGCCATTCTTTCTTCAAATACTTTTAAGCCACCTATTCTTTCTCCATTTTTGGGGGGACTGTAATGATGTGAAGTTTAGATCTTTTGTTAATGTCCAATGTGGCCTGAGGCTCTGTTAGCTTTTTGCTTTAGTCTGATTACTTTCTGTCCTTTATGTTGAATAAATTTTATTTATCTATCCTCAGGTTAATTTATCTTATGTTCTCTCATTTCTACCCTATTATTGAGCCTTTTCATTAAGTTTTAAATTTTTTGTGTTTTTCAGTTTTATGTTTTTTTTTGTAACTTGAATTTCCTTGCTGAACTTTTATATTTTTTCATTTGCTTCAAGAGAATTCATAATTATTAGTTGAATCAATTTTATGATGACTGCCTTATAATGTTTGTCAGATAGTTCCAGTATCTGACTCATCTCTCTATTGATATTGGTTTATTGTCTTCTTAAGTTATGATTTTCCTGGTTCTGGTATGATAAGTAGTTTTCAATTATACTCTGGATATTATGTTAGGACACTCTTGATTTTATTTGAATCTTCATTTTTAGCAGGCTGTTTTTCTGTTTAGGTTTAGCATGTAGGTTCTGGCAGTCCTCTCTGCTCTGCTGACATAGCTGATGTGGGGAGATATGCCTGCCACTGTAGGTGGTGTGGTAGGAAGAATAATGGCTCTTTAAAGATGTCTACATCCTAATTTTTGCAGTCTGTGAATATGTGATGTTGTATGGCAAAAGGGAATTAAAGTTGCAGACAGAATTGAGATTGCTACTCAGCTGACCTTAAAATAGGGAAATTACCCTGGTGGGCCCAATGTAATCACAGAGCCTTTAATAGAGGAGCAGAATTGGAAGAGATGGCAGTTTAGGAAAGATCTGACTGGCCATTGCTGGCTTTGAAGATGGAAGGGGCCATGATCCAAGGAATGCAAGTGTCCTCTGGAAGCTGAATAAGGCAAGAAACAGGCTGTTTCCAGAGCCTCCAAAAAGGAGCACAGCTCTGCCAACACCCTTATTTTAGCTCATTGAGACTCACAACCAGCTTCTGACCTACAGAACAGTTAAGATAATAAATTTGTGATATTTCAAGCCACTAATTTTATGGTAATCTGCTGCCACAGATACTGAATACACAGGTGTGATATGGGAAATGGGTTGACCCCAGCCCCATTGGCAACGCTGCTCCAGGCAGATTGGACCACTGCTGTTGGCTGCTGTGAAGCAGGGGATGGGTGTTCCCACTAGGCTCTGCTGGCTCTGCATCTGCAGGCACATCAGGCCCAATGCTGCTGGCCTGTGTGAGGCAGGAGATGGATGGGCCGGCCTGGCCCTGGTCCTGCTTGCCACACATGGGTGCACCGGGTTCACTGCTGCTCCTGAGTGTGAAGCAGGGGGCAGGCTACTTCTCTTCCCAGCTCTGCTGGTGCTGCAGCTGTGGGAAGATTTGCTGACACCTTGTATTTTGGCCAGAGACAGGTTTTTTGTTTATTTGTTTCTTTTTTGTTTTTCTTTTTGCCTCTTGGCACTTCTGGGCTCCAAGCTCACTGGTGCCTAGTCTGAAATATATGGTGACAAAAAGAAAACCCAAAAATCTCACCATGGTCATGTTCCTTTTTTTACATCCTGGAGCCCCCATCCTCCTTTCTGACCTGAACTTTGGCTCTCAGCGCTGTCTGCAGTTGTCACTGGGCACTGCCTTCCTTTCTTTCTTGGGCTTGCTCAAGCGCTTGCTGTGCATTGTGTCTTCCTTAGCCATGGTTGCCTCCCTTGTTTTGCTGGAGTCCATTCTCAACTAACCATAAGGAAGGCTTTGAGGCAAGTACACTTTCCAAATCTTGGCGTCTGTAAACATGTGTTTATTCCTTTCTCTCATTTCAGTTTGTATGGTGTGAAATTTCAGGTTGAAAATCAATTTTTCTCCCAGGATTTTAAAGGCATTGCTTCATAATCTTTTAGTGGTTAGTTTGGTTGATGCACAGCCAGAAGTGTGAATGGTTTTACCTCCTTTCTAGGAGACCCACTTTTTTTTTTTTCAAGACAGGGTATTACTCTGTTGCCCAGGGTGGAGTGTAGTGGCACCACTTTGGCTCACTGCAGCCTCAACCTCCTGGGATCAAGTGATCCTCCCACCGCAGCCCCCAGACAAGTAGCTGGGACTACAGGCACGCATCACCATGCCTGGCTAATTTTTTTTTTTGTATTTTTTGTAGACAGGGTTTCACCATGTTTCCCAGGCTGAGGCCCATTTTTATCTTCCCTTTCTGAAAACTTTAAGGTATCCTTGTTTATTCTTATGCCAAAACCTCAACTATTAATTACCATAGGTTTCTAGTAAGTCTTGAGATCTGGTCCTGCAAGTCCTTAAACTTTGTTCTTTTTTTTTCAAGGTTGACTTGCCTATTCTAGGTCTTCACATTCCCATGTACATTAAGAATCATTTTTCTTTCCACAAACATAAAATGTCCTGGGATTTCACTTGGAATTGAAATAAATGTATAGATCAATTTGGAGAGATTGATATATTAAAGAGATTGAGACTTTCCATCCAGTGATAAGGTATGTCCCTTCATTTCTCAGGTTGTCTTTTTTTTTTCACTAACATTTAGTAATTAAAAAATATATAGATTGTGCACATTTCCTGTTAAGTTTATTTATAAATAATTCACAATTGTGTTTGCACGTTGGTCCTTTCATCCTCTTCCATTTTCTGACTGGTTATTGAGATCTTGCTAGGAGCTCTGGTGCCCTCTGAAGTCCTGGGCAGTGACATAAACAGGTCCTATGAGGACCACTGGGGACACTGACCTCTTGGTCAGTGTGGCATGTAGCACTTTATGGGTTTTGAGAGGTTGTAAGCAGGGATGGGACAATTTCAAGGAAGAATCTTCTGGCTATGGTGTGTGTTTCCAGGGGCACAGGGATTGGTAAAGCCAGGCCTGGGGCAGGGACTCTTGTTTGGGGATGTTGTCCCAGGAGTGGTCCTAGCCTGGATAACTTTGTACTGGGGCCTGTCACTCAGGAGGCAATGTCAACGGTCCTGACTGAAGCTGCTCCCCTGAGCCGTGGGCAGTAAAAGCCTTCCCTTTCTAAGCGCTGGAAGAATGCAAGGAATTCCTTCCTTACTAGCATATGGACTCTGGAGTGGTTTGCTCTCCATCCTCAGTGTGAATGTCCAAGACTGGCCCCTTTCCTCACCCCATCTGTGTGGCCAGTTTGCCTTTCTTGGTCCTGAGTCCCTCTCCAGGTTGCCTGCTGGGGTCTGGTCATGTGGACTGTACCTCTGAGCTTGGCCGCTCACTGCAAGCTCAGCCCGGCTGCCCTTTGTGGCTTGGCTGCTGTGTGCTGCCAGTCGTGTTGAGTGTGAGTTCATTGCACATCCTTGGACCTTGAGCCCAGGCTGCTGGCCTTTCTTTGGAGAGGCCTGTGGGGGACGCAACTCAGTTTCCAGCAGTCACCATCTGATAGCTCACCCACATTCCAGTCTCTTCCTGGAAAGACACTGCATCTAAAATCTAGTGACTTCTCTCATAAATCCAGATCACATGCCCTTGAGGCCAGGTCAGAGAATTTCTGGAAGCAGGCAGGGCGTAGTTCCTGTTTGCTGTTTCTTCTCTCTTCCATTGAAGAGGCAAGGAAAATAAGGAGCCAGTGGAATCCCCCAGCAAATGCTTACTTGCTCTGCCATGCAGCCAAACCTGCCCTCAACAAAAACTGATCTGAACTGGTGGAAGTGTTTAATCATTTTTCATTGTCACTAATGAAAATAGCACTGCCTGTGGCTGGATAGTTCAAAGTGCCCAACAAAAGAATTCTGAGTCCCAGGCGAGAACTAGATCTGGAAGATCTTGGATCAACTAATGACACACCTTGTGCAAATTTTAAACCTCCCAATAATGTCCATGCATGTGGCCTAATGGTACTACAGAGATTTTAGGATTGGTACATATATTAGTCACTGTAATTAAAATCCTGGAGTTATATTATATGTTATTTGTATGGCAGTTTGTGATGTGTTTAATGTTCCCAGTTTCAAAATTATTAAAGCTACTGTCCCTGGGCTGGCCAAAGTGATAAGCAAAATAAGAATGTGATCTTATTCCCTCTTGATGGGGCAAGTGGGGAGGGGGATGCATGTGGGATTTTCTTATAAAGAGACCAAATGCCAAATAAAGAAATCCAACTGTGAAACAGGAAAGTTGAAATGGTTTGTTAGGATCATTAATATTGCAATGAAAACTAATTAAACCTGGAGCTAGAAGGAGTTCATTAGTGGTTTGGAGCCAAGGATTCTGCTTCTGCACTGTTGGCTATAGCATAGAGGAACTTGGAAAGTTGTCACCTGGGCTTGGGGGTCACGCGGCTCTCTCGTTTTTGCAACCTCTGGAATTGGGCTTGCGCTAATGACAGGTGTTTGGCAGACACGAGCCATGAGATTTTCTTAGGGTACCTGAAGTCCTCTTAGCTCCTCTCCCTGAGAGGCCCTAGGCATTGCCACCCCTGCCTGAGTCAGACACGCCTTGCAGGCTTTGAAGATGGAGAAGGAAAATTGGCAGGGTTTTTTTTTTTTTCCCAAGCAATTCAACTCACTCCAAACCACTAGAAATAAAGGTAACCCACAGCTTCAACAGTAGTTTTGTGTTGCTGAAGTGCTTTCACACACATCATCTCATTCGCTCCTCTACACAGTCCTCACAAAATTGCTTTATCATTTATCTCCTCAACTTGGTGGCCAAAGAGAGAGCAGGCTGCTTTATCTCAGGCTGGATTTCCCGGGAAGCAGACTCTGAGAAAGAGTTTGGTGGGCAAAAGGTATATTAAGGAGGGCCCTTGGGACCAATCCCCATGGCAGAGAGGGGCTTGAATCATGTGTGGACAGAGGGAAAATCAAGCTGTGATTCCTGGAGGCCCAACGGGGACTCAGCCCATACCATGGAGAGATCTGGGGCTAGCACGGCCCTTCAGAGGCATCTTAAGTTGGGTTAATATGGCCAGTTTGTCATCCTGCTTCTTTGATCTGTCATTGGATGGGGGCTGCCTTGAGAAGGGTGGGCCTTTGGGTAGGTGACTCTGTGCCAATGGGACCCTAAAGGGGCCAACAGCTGGAGGCTGCCCACTCACACCCCCCACCAGCCTCTGAGCAGCAAGTCCTCCCTTCAGGGGTTCTGGGCAGCACATTGAACATCACACCGGGGCAGGCTTGCTTATCATAATCTCCTTCCACCCCAGCAATAGCACCTGGCAAGTAGTAGGTTTTTTAACAGATATTCATTAATGTCAGTAGCACATTCCCATTTCACACAGAGAAAAGCAACAGTTAGGAATGTGAAGGAACTAGAATTAGAAGGAAGGCTCCTAACTCAAGAATCCCAGCCTTTGCCACTGTCCCTCATCTGTGCTCACAAACAATGAAGAGGGACATCTGGATGACAGTCATCTGGCCCTGATGCAAAACAAAATCCAATTCATGTTTTTCATGTCCAAAGAAGATGGTTGGAGCCAGGTAGTCCAGCACTAGAAAGGCAACCCCATGATGTCATTGTGGAGAAGGCTCCCCTCTTTCTTCTCGGCACCCTCATGTAGCTCTCATTCTCAAGGTTACCTCATGGTCCAAGATGGTTGACAAAGCTCCAGCCATTATGTCAGCATTCCAGGCTGGCAGCAGGAAGGAGGCAGATGGTAGGGACTGAAGGCTGCTCTTCCTAGGTGAAGGGATTTTCAGCACTTCTCTCTCTTTCATTTTTTCCCTGAATACCCAGCCCATCATTTGGTGGAATATTGACACTGGTCACAAGAGGAGGGACAGGGGCTTGTCCATGAGGCAGAACAAACTTGGGCTTGAGTTTGAGGACACCATAGGGAAGGATGGGCCTGCTGTTCACACTAGGGCTTGGCAGCTTTGGCCAGCCAAGGGATTTCCCACAGCTGGGGCCTGGGCAAGGAGGACAAGAGCCTGTGGACAGACAGGCCTAGGGTTTGGGGAAGTTGCTCCGAGACACCTTTGCATAGTTTGTTGCAAGGTCCCATCCCTTGTGCTTGTATTTTAGGCAAAACCAAACCAAAAAAGTAAATCCGATCACCAGACAAATAAGGCAAAAAAAGGTTTACTTTTCTTGATTTCCTGGTACTTGAGTCCAGCCCCTTCCAGTATTCCATGAGTGGGTTATAGACGTGCCACGTATGGTTCTCCTCGGCCCTGGGTACAGCCAGGCAGGTGTGGGGAGGGCAGCCGGTCCCCTCCAACCACAGGCAGCCTTGGCTGCTTATCCCCTTGTTATACACGTGCTGTTACCCCGGCAAGATTGGGGCATGCCACTCGATTCCCTTTGCTATAGGGAGCTTGTTTGAATGTTGGAAGCAAAAAGTGCTGTGTATCTCCAAGAGGGAGACAGAATCACTTTCTCATTATGGTAAAGATTTTTCTCAGATTTCCAAGTCAAATCTCAGGTGGCAAAGGAAATGGCCTCATTTCTGCCAGTGCCCAGAACTGCCACAGTTTACCTGCCTGATCCATAGATCCAAAGGTTCCTGAGAGCATCTCGCTCACGTTCTTCATTTTATAGATGAGGACGCCAGGCCCAGGGAGGTAAATACCTTGGCAATGGGCATAGAAATGATGTAGGTTTAATTTGACAACATTATTAACCCCGCTTATTATCTTGAAATGATCCCATAAGAGCTTATGAGAAATGACAATTATTTAATTGCATACTTTACATAGTATATTTTATATATTGTACAATTATCACCATAATGATTAATGGGGGTTAATTCTTCTGTAGCTGAAGGCAGTCAGTGTAAGGTGGTATTTCAATATCTTTTCTTTTTTACTTCAAGATTAAGCCTAGAAAGTCTTTTGCCTTTCTGTTCACACACAGGCAGCAGACAGAGGGTGTGAACAACAGGTTTGTGGACACCACTTACCAGCCAGCCATCATTTCCCCTTGCTTGGGAGAAGAACACATCTCCAGAACATTTCAGGGTGCTCTGCAGTGCCTGAAGATTCTATCTGACTTTACTATAGTCTCCCAAATGCCAGAGTTGCAGAGGAGTAAGAAAATTCCACAATCAACTCTGAACCTTCCTAGTCTACCCTTTCAAGATTACGGAGATCATTTATTGAACGTTTTGGGTTAGGCTTAATTGCAGTAGAACAGAGAAATCCCAAATCTCAGTGGTTTAAAAATGTTTGGAGCCTTGCAGCTCAGCAGAAAGGCAACCTTATGGTATCATTGTGGAGCAGGCCCTCCTCTTTCTTCCTGGCCCCCTCATGTAGCTCTCATCCTCAAGGTCACCTCATGGTCCAAGATAGCTGACAAAGCTCCAGCCATCATGTCAGCATTCCAGGCTGGCAGCAGGAATGAGGCAGATGATGGGGACTGAAGGTTGCTCTTCTCAGTTGAAGGGATTTCCAATATTCTCACAAAACAATTAATTTCCATTCCATCAGACAGAATAGGACACATGATTACCTTTAACTGCAGGGAGAGAGGTGAATAAAGATTTTGACCTGTGCCATTTCGTCTAGCTGAAAATACCGGGGCTGTACAACTAAGGAGGGAAGAAGAATAATGGTTGGTGTAGACAACCACTATCTCTGCCACAGGATTCCAGGAGATAACACAGCAAGCCTTTAGCAGAACGCCTGGCATTAGATTAGGTTCTTGTGTGTTTAATGATTGCTTATGGAGTGCCTACAGTGGTTAGGGCCAAGGCTAACCAGGAGGTTTGTCCCTGTTCTCAGGCCACTCTTGATCCAGTGCTCAGCCAGCACAGAGCTGGGGACATTCTGCTGGGTGGACAAAGCATCTCTAGGCAGATCTGCTTCTGACCCATAGTGCCCTCGTGGTTTTAAAGCATGGAGCTACAGAGCTACCCAGCCAGGGTTCTGGATATACCTATGGATTGCCGGTGTCCTGTTGTCACAAGAAAGCCTTGGGGGCTGTTGACAGAGGCTTCTCATGATGAGCAGTGAAGGGAACGGTGCAGGCTGGGAGCTCGAGAATCCTGGGTTTAATCCCGGCAGTGATGCTGATGTCAGCCTTTCATATGGTGAGCCTCAGTTTCCTGGTCTGCCATGTGCAGATGACGACATTTACTTTGCAGGACAATTGTGAGAACTAGTGCCCAGCGTGGCTCTTGTCTGGATGCTGATGTTATGACTGGCAGGGCCGGCAGGGCCAGCAGGACTGGGCCACCCCAAGAGCATGGCAGGCCCCTTGGTCAGATTTACTGTAGACAAGGAAAAAGACAAAGGGTCAGGACAGCACTATCTACACTCTTTTGCTTTCACACAGAAATCAATTTGTTCAATGCCTTATTAAGAACAGCAAAATAATAGTGCTGTTCAATAATAAATTCCTTACCACTTAATACTAATGTTGAAAAAAGTTTACAGGAATCCATTGCTTTGGACTAGGCCCCAGCAGACCAGACCAAACCAAAATGAAGTCACTCATGCTAAGTGACACAAAATCACACCAAAATTTTAAGGAAGCAGGTAGAGCCTCAAACAGACCAGTTTTGCCTAAAAACAGTAGATTCATAGCAACCAATTAGAAACAGCCCGGTCTGTCTGAGTCAGTGTCATAATGAAGTTCCTCTTTACAAGAAAAGTGATCTGCTGTTCACCAAAAAGTGTAGTGACCTGCTGTTCATTGATCTGCTTTTTTGATGGCTCCATTTCCTTTTTCCCACCTTCCACAAACTAACCATTCTGCTCTGTCATCCCCAGCAGAACACTCATTCTAATTTATGGAATGAAGTGTTGTCCAATTCTGGAATTCCAAGTAAAAGCCAATTAGATTTTCAAACTAAATTTGTTGTAATTTTGTCTTTTGGCACTAATACCAAAAGACCACCGAATCCTAGGTAAAGCTAATGGACAAAAGGAATCTTTAAGGTCCCATTGGTTTCCCAGCACTTGATTTCTGTAATTTGGCCAAAGCTGACTTATTTCCAGGAGTGTGACTTTCTGGGTGTATGGGTGAAACTCCCACTAAGGGAAGTGGGCACCCTTTAGACAAGAAAACAACAAAGCAGTGGGCAACTGCTTCCTCCACGGGAATGGGGGCAGGTTGGTTTGAATGGCCTCTGAGAAGGAACACCCAGGAGATTCATGCTCCCAGGAAACTGCCTACACTGGGGTATTCAAAACACTTGGAGCTTTACTTTTTCAATGGATGATTTCGTGATTTTTCTGAAGCCATCTAAAACTTCTTACCTGCAATGGAGTGTGCCTAATTTGGAGCAGGTGCTGAGGGTCTCCTCCCCAGCTCAGGAGCAGCATTCCTTGGGGTGTGGTCATGGGACCATCTCCCACAGACACCTGGGGCAAAAGCAGGAGCCCCACTCCAGATGGGGTGGCGGGGAGGGCAGAATCTCTGGGACCAAGCCTGGAATTCTGCATTTTAATGACTTCCCTTCTTCTGTACACTAATGTTTTAGTTGGTTTCCAACCTTGTTCATTCTGCATTAGCTGAGGTCTTATAGAAAGACCTGATGTGAAATATTCCACTAGGGATCCACTGTGTGGCTACTCTCTCTCTGTGTGACACTCACAATAGGCCTCTATATACGTCTAGAATCTCCTTGTCATTGACAGTTTTGTGCAATTGCTCCAAGGACAGGACTAGTGTAAGGGTACCTGGGCTGCAAAATTGAGAAAGTGCTCACTCTTAAGGAGGCACCACTCTCTGGGATGTGCAAGGACGGGGTTCACACCTCAGAATGAGCACCTCCTTAAGCATACCCCAGGCAACCCCTTTGACTCATCCTGTCTCTGTCTTCAGAAAGCCCCCCTCCTTTGCAATGGCTCTTGTTTCTGGATGACTTTTTCTGATGTTGGAGGAACATGACACCCCTTAGTCTACACTACACTCGATATTTTTAGCTAATTCATTCCAGGGCTTGGTAAAGTACTCAACTTTGCTTAGCATTATCCACTATTTCTTTTCAAGGAATCTTGGATCTGTGCAACATAGGCAGTCATGTGTTAGACATATTTAAATGGTCGTAGAATCTTAGAACTGATGGGGTATTGGAGACAGCATAATGGCTCTTTCTTTCACGTTTATCTGCCTTCCTTTCTCAGATCTGCTTTAATTGGGTTTATATGGTATAGTTAATTTTGCATCATGCTTTTCCATCTCAGTGGACATAACCAGGCATTAGGCCCGGGTTTCGATTCTGGCCCCTCCACAGGCTTGGTATAGGATCTGGAGCAGAGGTTCTCAAAGCCCAGTGCCTCAGCTATTCAGGGGTGGGGCTGAGAATCTGCATTTCCAACGACCTTCCAGGCAATACAGATGCTGCTAACCTGGGACCCCGGGTTTAGGAAAAATCCTTAACTTCACAATGAGTCCCAAATGGGAAGACAATTCCTTAATCATGGGGTTTTTGCCTAGATCAAATGAGACAACGTGTGAGAGCCTCATCTAACAGGTGATCCACACCTGGTCCCCTTATTCCAAGCTCTCGTCCAAGACAAGGTCCCCAACATGTGGGCTTCCATTCTCACCTTCAGAACTTGGGTCAGGTTCTCCCGGAGCAGCCCTTGAGATGAGGGTTTGTTAAGGAAGCGCTCCCAGGAGAAACCAGTGGGGGTAGAGAAAAGAGAGCAGGGAAGGATTTCAGGCAAAGTCCTGCAGAGCTCGGTCAGCGACTCCCCAGGCGGCTCTGGAGGCTGTTTCCTCTCAGAGCACAGAGGAGGCACAGTAGGGAGCAAAGCACCTCCAGAGTAGGCAGAGTGGAGCTTTCCTGCAGGCTGAAAGGACCCTGGGTCTGGAAGAGGCCCCTCACTACACAGTCGCCTGCTGGAGTAGGGGGCGGTGCAGGTGGAGGGCAGTGGGTGCCTCTGTAAGCGGCAGGGCGGAGGCTCCAGCCAGTGAAGGGGACTCCAAAGACTGCATGCCCAAGGGCAGGGAGTAAGGGGAGATATGCAGAGAGACAGGGAGAGAGAGAAAGAGAGACACACATTTGGACACACACATACAAACACACAGAGAAAGAGAGAGAGAACCACACAGCTGACGTGAGGAGACGGCGTCAAAAGACCACAGGAAACCTGGCCCCCCTCTTCCTTCCTCCCACCCAGCCCTGGAGGGTGCAGGGGTGGCAGATTGGCGAAGGGAGGGGCAGCAGCTGGGGAGGAAAGGCCACACACACACAGACACACAGAGACGCTCACAGAGACATCCACACAGAGACACACAGAGGCACAGACACAGAGACACACAGAGAGAGACACAGAGACACACACAGAGAGAGACACATGCAGACACACAGAGAGACACACACACAGACACAGGGAGACACACAGACACAGGGAGACACACAGAGACACATACACAGAGACACACACACAGAGACACACAGAGAGAGACACATGCAGACACACAGAGAGACACACACACAGACACAGGGAGACACACAGACACAGAGAGACACATAGAGGCACATACACAGAGACACACAGAGACACAGACACAGAGACACACAGAGACACAGACACAGAGACACACAGAGAGAGACACACAGAGACACACACACACAGACACACACAGAGACACACAGACACACAGACACAGAGAGACACACAGACACACACACACAGAGATACACAGAGACACAGACACAGAAACACTCTGAGAGAGACACACACAGAGAGACACACACATGCAGACACAGAGAGACACACAGACACACACACACAGAGGCACAGCACAGAAACACAGAGAGAGACACACAGAGACATACACAGAGACACACAGAGAGACTGACACACGCAGACACACAGAGACACACAGAGATACACACAGAGACACACACACAGAGACACACAGAGAAGGATCCACACAGAGACAGAGAGACACATACATACACATATATACTGACATACATACATACACAGAGAGACACACACACACTCATACACAGAAACACACAGAGACACAAAGAAAGACACACATACATGAACATATATACTCACACACACACATCCATAAGGACATACACTCATACATAGAGACACAGAGAGAAACACATACATGCACATATATACTTACACTCTCACAAACAGATACATACACACACACACAGAGAGATACATAAACAGAGAGATACACATACATACACACACACATACACACATACATATACTCACAGACACACACACATACTCACACTCATACACAGAAACACACACATACACACACACAGAGAAAGAGAGAGAGAACCACACAGCTGACATGAGGGGATGGCGTAGAGACCACAGGAAACCTGGTACAACAGTAGAAGGCCTCTGCGCCCCCCTCCTCCTTCCTCCCACCCAGCCCTGGAGGGTGCAGGGGTGGCAGACAGGTGAGGGGAGGCACAGGAGCTGGGGAGGAAAGGCCACATCACATCCCACTTCCCCCTGGGTGGAGGGAAGAAGATTTTAACTGGATGAAAGAGGCAGATTTTGATTTAGAGCACACAAGACTTTTTAATACTTTGAAAATGCATGATCAAATCCCTGAAAGGAACCGAAAAAACTGGTTTGTGTCCAAATGTTGTTCAGGAGCAAGGAAGAGAGGTCAGATGTTCCATTCCTGAAGCTAGTGGCTGAAGGGAAAAACAGAAAGTCATTTTTTGTTTGTACCTTGGAGTCTAGCTCATTTAGTATGCCAATTAGACATAACTTTTAATGACACCAAAATATTCAGTTTGCCCTGATTTATTTAATTATTTCCCTATGGTTGGATGACATTTGAATTCTAAATTGTGTTCTTTTTTATTTATTTTTTGCTCTTAAAGATAATACTGTAAAGCCTGTACACAAATGTTCATGGCAGCCAAAGACTGGAAACAACTCAAGTATCCTTTAGCAGGTGAACATTGAAAAGTGGTGGTACCTCCATCCCCCGGAACCCTCCTCAGCAGCAAAAAGGAACAAACTGTCCATGCACAGCTGGGGTGATCTCGAGGGGATTTTGCTGAGTAAAATAAGCCAGTCCCAAGGGTTATGTCCTGTCCGATTCCATTTATATGACATTCCTGAAATGACATAATGAGAGGGATGGAGAACAGATTAGTGGCCGCCAGGGCTCAGGGTGGAGGGGGAGGAAGGCTGTGAACCACAAGGGATCCCTATGATATCTTTGTTGTGGTGGTGGTCTCTCTAATCTACACATGATGAAATGGCATTGAATTACACACATGCACACACGTAAGTACATGTAAAGCAGGGGAAATGTGAATAACATGAAGGTGTCAGTGCCCGTTTCCTGGTTGTGATTCTGTGTTACAGTTACACAAGACGTTCCTACCGGGGGAAGCTGGGTGAAGGGTACAAGGATCCCTGTACTGTATTTTATAACCGCACATGAATCTCAACCTTCTCAAAATAAAAAGTTAAAACAATAAATTTGTCTAACTAGAAAATGTGAATCAATGCAAAACATGTATTAGATAATGAGGTAAACGTACTTGGGACAAAGCTAATACTGTGTTGATTGCTCCCGTATTTTCACCTGGGTGCTGCTCTAAATTCTTTTTTAGGATACATTTGTAGAAATGGAATTATTGAATCAAAAGGTATAAATTTTAAGCCTCCTAATGCATCAAATTGTTTTCGGAAAATTTGCGCAATTTATTTGCATCCCTCAGAATTTATTTTATCCTGCCACCAGCAATATTGAATCATCACATTCAATATTGAATCATCACATTCAATATTGAATCATCACATTCAATATTGAATCATCACATTCAATATTGAATCATCACATTCAATATTAAAAACAAGAACAAAAATAACTCCCTTTCTCCTTGCCAGTTCCATATGTGCTGGACAATATCTCATTGTTTTAATTCCCACCTCACTGATTACCGGTGTGGCTGAACATTTAAAAAATATATTTATGGCTTATCGGACATTTTGCTTTTGTATATAACCCACATTTCTATTGATGTCTTGATTCACAGTAAGTTTTTTTCTTAGTTTGTAATTAATTTTCTTTTAATTTTTAATAGTCTTAATAAGACTATTGCCCTCTTATCATATTTGTTGAAAATATTCCTTTCCAGTTTGTCCTTTCTATTTTTGAATGTGGCATTTTTGATATAATCTATATGTGATATATGGACACAGATTATATGGCTTATCAGTATTTTCCTTTGTGGTATTTTTTTAATTAATTAATTAATTTATTTATTTATTTTTATTATTATACTTTAAGTTTTAGGGTACATGTGCACAATGTGCAAGTTAGTTACATATGTATACATGTGACATGCTGGTGTGCTGCACCCACTAACTCATCATCTAGCATTAGGTATATCTCCCAATGTTATCCCTCCCCACTCCCCCCACCCCACAACAGTCCCCAGAGTGTGATATTCCCCTTCCTGGGTCCATGTGTTCTCATTGTTCAATTCCCACCTATGAGTGAGAATATGCGGTGTTTGGTTTTTTGTTCTTGCGATAGTTTACTGAGAATGATGATTTCCAATTTCATCCATGTCCCTATAAAGGACATGAACTCATCATTTTTTATGGCTGCATAGTATTCCATGGTGTGTATGTGCCACATTTTCTTAATCAAGTCTATCATTGTTGGACATTTGGGTTGGTTCCAAGTCTTTGCTATTGTGAATAATGCCGCAATAAACATACGTGTGCATGTGTCTTTATAGCAGCATGATTTATAGTCCTTTGGGTATATACCCAGTAATGGGATGGCTGGGTCAAATGGTATTTCTAGTTCTAGATCCCTGAGGAATCGCCACACTGACTTCCACAATGGTTCAACTAGTTTACAGTCCCACCAACAGCGTAAAAGTGTTCCTATTTCTTCACATCCTCTCCAGCACCTGTTGTTTCCTGATTTTTTAATGATTGCCATTCTAACTGGTGTGAGATGGTATCTCATTGTGGTTTTGATTTGCATGTCTCTGATGGCCAGTGATGGTGAGCATTTTTTCATGTGTTTTTTGGCTGCATAAATGTCTTCTTTTGAGAAGTGTCTGTTCATGTCCTTTGCCCACTTTTTGATGGGGTTGTTTGTTTTTTTCTTGTAAATTTGTTTGAGTTCTTTGTAGATTCTGGATATTAGCCCTTTGTCAGATGAGTAGGTTGTGAAAATTTTCTCCCATTTTGTAGGTTGCCTGTTCACTCTGATGGTAGTTTCTTTTGCTGTGCAGAAGCTCTTTAGTTTAATTAGATCCCATTTGTCAATTTTGGCTTTTGTTGCCATTGCTTTTGGTGTTTTAGACATGAAGTCCTTGCCCATGCCTATGTCCTGAATGGTAAAGCCTAGATTTTCTTCTAGGGTTTTTATGGTTTTAGGTCTAACGTTTATGTCTTTAATCCATCTTGAATTGATTTTTGTATAAGGTGTAAGGAAGGGATCCAGTTTCAGCTTTCTACATATGGCTAGCCAGTTTTCCCAGCACCATTTATTAAATAGGGAATCATTTCCCCATTGCTTGTTTTTCTCAGGTTTGTCAAAGATCAGATAGTTGTAGATATGCAGCATTATTTCTGAGGGCTCTGTTCTGTTCCATTGATCTATATCTCTGTTTTGGTACCAGTACCATGCTGTTTTGGTTACTGTAGCCTTGTAGTATAGTTTGAAGTCAGGCAGTGTGATGCCTCCAGCTTTGTTCTTTTGGCTTAGGATTGACTTGGTGATGCGGGCTCTTTTTTGGTTCCATATGAACTTTAAAGTAGTTTTTTCCAATTCTGTGAAGAAAATCATTGGTAGCTTGATGGGGATGGCATTGAATCTGTAAATTACCTTGGGCAGTATGGCCATTTTCATGTATTGATTCTTCCTACCCATGAGCATGGAATGTTCTTCCATTTGTTTGTATCCTCTTTTATTTCCTTGAGCAGTGGTTTGTAGTTCTCCTTGAAGAGGTCCTTCACATCCCTTGTAAGTTGGATTCCTAGGTATTTTATTCTCTTTGAAGTAATTGTGAATGGGAGTTCATTCATGATTTGGCTCTCTGTTTGTCTGTTATTGGTGTATAAGAATGCTTGTGATTTTTGTACATTGATTTTGTATCCTGAGACTTTGCTGAAGTTGCTTATCAGCTTAAGGAGATTTTGGGCTGAGACGATGGGGTTTTCTAGATATACAATCATGTCATCTGCAAACAGGGACAATTTGACTTCCTCTTTTCCTAATTGAATACCCTTTATTTCCTTCTCCTGCCTAATTGCCCTGGCCAGAACTTCCAACACTATGTTGAATAGGAGTGGTAAGAGAGGGCATCCCTGTCTTGTGCCAGTTTTCAATGGGAATGCTTCCAGTTTTTGCCCATTCAGTATGATATTGGCTGTGGGTTTGTCATAGATAGCTCTTATTATTTTGAAATACGTCCCATCAATACCTAATTTATTGAGAGTTTTTAGCATGAAGAGTTGTTGAATTTTGTCAAAGGCCTTTTCTGCATCTATTGAGATAATCATGTGGTTTTTGTGTTTGGTTCTCTTTATATGCTGGATTACCTTTATTGATTTGCATATGTTGAACCAGCCTTGCATCCCAGGGATGAAGCCCACTTGATCATGGTGGATAAGCTTTTTGATGTGCTGCTGGATTCGGTTTGCCAGTATTTTATTGAGGATTTTTACATCAATGTTCCTCAAGGATATTGGTCTAAAATTCTCTTTTTTGGTTGTGTCTCTGCCCGGCTTTGGTATCAGCATGATGCTGGCCTCATAAAATGAGTTAGGGAGGATTCCCTCTTTTTCTATTGATAAGAATAGTTTCAGAAAGAATGGTACCATTTCCTCCTTGTACCTCTGGTAGAATTCAGCTGTGAATCCATCTGGTCCTGGACTCTTTTTGATTGGCAAGCTATTGATTATTGCCACAATTTCAGCTCCTGTTATTGGTCTATTCAGAGATTCAACTTCTTCCTGGTTTAGTCTTGGGAGAGTGTATGTGTCAAGGAATTTATCCATTTCTTCTAGATTTTCTAGTTTATTTGAGTAGAGGTGTTTGTAGTATTCTCTGATGGTAGTTTGTATTTCTGTGGGATTGGTGGTGATATCCCCTTTATCATTTTTTATTACACCTATTTGATTCTTCTCTCTTTTTTTCTTTATTTTTCTTGCTAGCGATCTATCAATTTTGTTGATCCTTTCAAAAATCAGCTCCTGGATTCATTAATTTTTTGAAAGGTTTTTTGTGTCTCTATTTCCTTCAGTTCTGCTCTGATTTTAGTTATTTCTTGCCTTCTGCTAGCTTTTGAATGTGTTTGCTCTTGCTTTTCTAGTTCTTTTAATTGTGATGTTAGGGTGTCAATTTTGGATCTTTCCTGCTTTCTCTTGTGGGCATTTAGTGCTATTAATTTCCCTCTACACACTGCTTTGAATGTGTCCCAAAGATTCTGGTATGTTGTGTGTTTGTTCTCATTGGTTTCAAAGAACATCTTTATTTCTGCCTTCATTTTATTATGTACCCAGTAGTCATTCAGGAGCAGGTTGTTCAGTTTCCATGTAGTTGAGCAGTTTTGAGTGAGATTCTTAATCCTGAGTTCTAGTTTGATTGCACTGTGGTCTGAGAGACAGTTTGTTATAGTTTATGTTCTTTTACATTTGCTGAGGAGAGCTTTACTTCCAAGTATGTGGTCAATTTTGGAATAGGTGTGGTGTGGTGCTGAAACTAATGTATATTCTGTTGATTTGGGGTGGAGAGTTCTGTAGATGTCTATTAGGTCCACTTGGTGCAGAGCTGAGTTCAATTCCTGGGTATCCTTGTTGACTTTCTGTATCTTTGATCTGTCTAATGTTGACAGTGGGGTGTTAAAGTCTCCCATTATTAATGTGTGGGAGTCTAAGTCTCTTTGTAGGTCACTCAGGACTTGCTTTATGTATCTGGGTGCTCCTGTATTGGGTGCATATATATTTAGGATAGTTAGCTCTTCTTGTTGAATTGATCCCTTTACCATTATGTAATGGCCTTCTTTGTCTCTTTTGATCTTTGTTGGTTTAAAGTCTGTTTCATCAGAGACTAGGATTGCAACCCCTGCCTTTTTTTGTTTTCCATTTGCTTGGTAGATCTTCCTCCATCCTTTTATTTTGAGCCTATATGTGTCTCTGCACGTGAGATGGGTTTCCTGAATACAGCACACTGATGGGTCTTGACTCTTTATCCAATTTGCCAGTCTGTGTCTTTTAATTGGAGCATTTAGTCCATTTACATTTAAAGTTAATATTGTTATGTGTGAATTTGATCCTGTCATTATGATGTTAGCTGGTTATTTTGCTCATTAGTTGATGCAGTTTCTTCCTAGTCTCGATGGTCTTTACATTTTGGCATGATTTTGCAGCGGCTGGTACTGGTTGTTCCTTTCCATGTTTAGTGCTTCCTTCAGGAGCTCTTTTAGAACAGGCCTGGTGGTGACAAAATCTCTCAGCATTTGCTTGTCTGTAAAGTATTTTATTTCTCCTTCACTTATGAAGCTTAGTTTGGCTGGATATGAAATTCTGGGTTGAAAATTCTTTTCTTTAAGAATGTTGAATATTGGCCCCCACTCTCTTCTGGCTTGTAGAGTTTCTGCCAACAGATCCGCTGTTAGTCTGATGGGCTTCCCTTTGAGGGTAACCCAACCTTTCTCTCTGGCTGCCCTTAACATTTTTTCCTTCATTTCAACTTTGGTGAATCTGACAATTATGTGTCTTGGAGTTGCTCTTCTCGAGGAGTATCTTTGTGGCGTTCTCTGTATTTCCTGAATCTGAATGTTGGCCTGCCTTGCTAGATTGGGGAAGTTCTCCTGGATAATATCCTGCAGAGTGTTTTCCTACTTGGTTCTATTCTCCCTGTCACTTTCAGGTACACCAATCAGATGTAGATTTGGTCTTTTCACATAGTCCCATATTTCTTGGAGGCTTTGTTCGTTTCTTTTTATTCTTTTTTCTCTAAACTTCCCTTCTCGCTTCATTTCATTCATTCATTTCATCTTCTATCACAGATACCCTTTCTTCCAGTTGATTGCATCAGCTCCTGAGTCTTCTGCATTCTTTATGTAGTTCTCGAGCCTTGGTTTTCAGCTCCATCAGCTCCTTTAAGCACTTCTCTGTATTGGTTATTCTAGTTATACATTCTTCTAAATTTTTTTCAAAGTTTTCAACTTCTTTGCCTTTGGTTTGAATGTCCTCCTGTAGCTCGGAGTAATTTGATCGTCTGAAGCCTTCTTCTCTCAGCTCGTCAAAGTCATTCTTCGTCCAGCTTTGTTCTGTTACTGGTGAGGAACTGCGTTCCTTTGGAGGAGGAGAGGTGCTCTGCTTTTTAGAGTTTCCAGTTTTTCTGCTCTGTTTTTTCTCCATCTTTGTGGTTTTATCTACTTTTGGTCTTTGATGATGGTGATGTACAGATGGGTTTTTGGTGTGGATGTCCTTTCTGTTTGTTAGTTTTCCTTCTAACAGACAGGACCCTCAGCTGCAGGTCTGTTGGAGCCGTGTGAGGTGTCAGTCTGCCCCTGCTGGGGGGTGCTTCCTAGTTAGGCTCCTCGGGGGTCAGGGGTCAGGGACCCACTTGAGGAGGCAGTCTGCCCGTTCTCAGATCTCCAGCTGCATGCTGGGAGAACCACTGCTCTCTTCAAAGCTCAGATGGAAATGCAGAAACCACCCATCTTCTGCGTCGCTCATGCTGGGAGCTGTAGACTGGAGCTGTTCGTATTCAGCCATCTTGGCTCCTCCCCCTCTTTGTGGTATTTTTATTGCTAATCTTAGAGGTGCCTCCTCTGTCCCAGTATCAGTAATTATTGAATTGTATTTACTTCTTTTATCTAAGGTTTCCTTTATAAATAAAAATACCATTTGATGACTAATCTATTCCATTCCCCTTGGGTGTCATGTTCCCTTTGTCATCTTGTTAGTTCTTATATTTTTTTGAGATTTCTTTCTGTGCCTATTTAGTTTGTTGCATTGATCTGTTTGCAAATTATTCCGCCAATAAAACACTTAATTGTTAGAACTTTAGAATACACTTTAAAATTTGGCAGAACAATTCCCCATTTAAAAAAATACTTCCAACTTTTCTCCCTTGTTTATTTTTTAAAGTTTAGAATTATTTCATAAATATTTGTTTCATTAAGAAATTCCACTGGTATATTGATAGTAATTGTAGTAACTATTTAATTGGAAATCAATGAACATTCATTTATTTGTGCCTATTTCAGAGACCCTACGGCAACTTTGCAATATACTTGCAATTTCTTTTCTCCATTTATTAAAATATTACTTTATATATTTCAATAAACTTTTGTCATTTCTTTATGTTGATTACACACATGTATTATAATAGTTATTTCTGGTTATTTTATGCTTTAAAAATCCATTTTGAAGAAGTCATTGTTATTAGGCCTTTTTAGTAATTATTGCTGGTGTTTAGTGATATTCTTGATTTATGTTTATTTCTCTTGCACCTGATAATCTTATTGATTTAAACAGTTTTTTAGGTCAAACCTCTTGAGTCTTCTTAGTTTATAACCATATTGTCTGCAAATAACACAATGCTGTCTCTCCTTTCTTGGAATCATTCCACATCTGTCACCCCACACCGTACTGTACCAGCCTGAACTTCTGATTCAGTGTTCGCTAATGCTGATGATAGCAGTGTGTCTCTTTTTATACGCTTTATTTCAAAGGTAATGAAGCTGTGCATTAATGGATTAAATATTCCTTTGGAAGGTTGTCTTTTGCTCTTCCAGAATCTACCATTCAATTTTTTAAAGTGAAAAGAATGTTATCTTTGTGTGTGGTTTCATCAAATGTCTTTTCAGCATCTGTTAACATCATCATTTTATAATCCATGCCAAATATGTATTACTAGGTTTCCTAATTTTTAATCAAATAAAATCACCTTGATCAAAGTAGAAGTTATTTTATTGTGTTATCATATTTGATTTGCTAGTATTTTTGCCAGAACTGGGTATGTAGTTTGCCAATCCCTGAGCAAAACGACAATGTGGAACCTCTTGTTCAAAGATTAAGAATTTCAAGATGGTGATGGCAGAGTATTAAACCAAGTACAGAGCCCCTCTTGTGTCACTGCACAGACAGCATATTCATGAAGCTGGCCCTGAGTTTTGCATTCACATTCATACATGAAGCTGAAATTGGTCCATCGTAGCTTTTTCGTGGTGTCTTGGTCAAGTTTTGATATCTGATTTATGTTCATTTCCGAAATTGAATAGGATGACTAACCGTATTTTTCATCCTCTGGGAGAGTTTCTTTGGCATGATGACTGACTGTGGCTTGGAAATGTGAAAGGGGACATCCAGGCATGGCCCTGTGGCCATGGGTCATCTTTGTGAAGATACTTTACAATTAAAGTAAAGTAAATTAAAAAAAATCTTTTGATGGGAATATTGTCTATCCCCTGACTCCCAGGTCCCTAATTTTCTAAAGCCAGTTTTAACCATTTGCTCTTTTTCCAGAAAATTAAGCAATTTATCTGTATGTTTGCACTTTTTGCAATAAATTTCAATACAAGCTTTCATAATAATATTTGTAATTCTCTTACATGGGTTACATCCCACATAACATGACTGGTTATTTTTATTTGTATAACTCTCCCCCCCCACCACTTTGTTTTTGGTTAGCTTTACTAGATATTTCTCTATTTTGCAGTGATTCTCCTCCAGCTCCCTCTCTCCATCCCCCGCTCCCACCCCCACACACATGAAAAGCCAGTTTGTGGAGGATTTATTGATGACGTCCTCTTAGCATGGGGCGTTTTCCAACTATTCTATTTGATTTGCTCTTGGAATTGATTTTTGCTTTTATCTTTGTTGTTTCCCTCTACCTGTCCTACTTAGCCTTGCTTTTGTTTTCTTTTTCCTGCTAACTTCTCATGCTCTTGACTCATACTTTTTAATATAATGAAAGCTCTTCAGATTATGAACTTATTTCTGCTTCTACTTCGGGCCACACTCCATATTCTTTGAAATCCAGTGTTTTTGTTTCTACTGTTTATTCCCAAGAGTCTGTAATTGCAACTGTGACCTCTATGATTCAAGAGTTAGTTAAGAACACGCTTCCCTTTTCTCTTTAATTTCCAGGGGAAGTGAAAGATCTCATCTGCTCGTTTAAACTTTGTTATCAACTTTTATTATTGTATTTCTGTTTTAGAATATTGCATGGAAAATTTCTGGTTTTTAGGTTTTTATTTCTTCTTTTATAAATGTCTCAGGATGCTCAATAACCAGGAGTATTGTCTATAGGGCACAGAGTCTAGATTCTACTTGTTGATCCAATCTTATTAATTATAATTCTCATAATTTCTATGTCCCTTTTTTGTTAACTACTTGATTTTTCAGCAGTTAGAAGGCATGTGTTAAAACCTATTGCAGTCACGATTTCCCCTTCCAGTCCTTTCTTCCACACTCCTTGCAGGGCTCTCTATCTTCTGATGCCTGTGACTCTCACTGTGAAGTCTTATGAATGCTACATTGTCATTGCAAATGGCTTCTTTTGTTAGCTGCGATGTCCCTCTCTAAAGTGGTTTTCCCTAACGCTAGGCGCCTTCTGTGTTCTACAGTGTGCTCCCCACCTTTACGATCCACTGGTTTACTCGTTTGTCTCTGCCTTAGCTCTGCACTGTCCATCTCCCCGGTCTCCTGAGGCATCCTGAAGGCAGGGCCTGCCTGCTCGCTCACCGCTTTCTCCCTGAAGCCCGTGAGACACTCAATGCATGTGCAGTTCAGAAACGGTCAGGAATGGTCTTCTTGGTCTTGTTAAATGGTTTTCTCACCTGAAGCTTTGTTTCATCTGAAAACAATCTGATGCCTCGGCATTTTCTTTCCTTCCCCTCCCCTTGCCAGGCAGGAGAGTGGGTGCCCATCCTGTCTTCATGGCCACTCCACCTTCCGTTCTGTCTGCTCCTTCTGCCCACTGGCTCTGCCATTGCTTCTCTGGTCCCTGTGGGCTGCCGGGCAGAGTGCAGGGGCACTGGGCTGGGAGCAGGAGGACAAGTCATGAAGCCAGCCCCGGGATACCAGCCAGCTCGTTGACCCTCAGCTCCTGCTCTGCAATGAGGACACGTGAGATAATGCGTGTGAGATGCTGAGCCCAGGGACACAGCGCTGGCTGCCTTCCAGCCCCAGCCTTTAGGGGAAAACAACAATAAAAATGTCACCTGCTAGACGCTTGTTAACTGACCGTGGGTGGGTTTGAGGTCTTGAGATTGTTGGCCGTTAGATCCGCCAAATGCCACCCCTGGGCCCCCAAAGAGGGACATAAGTGCCATCCTAGCACCAGGGACTGACCCGACACTGGGATACATAACTCATGCGCCCATTAGCATGTCAGGGCATCTGCCCTCCACACAGGTGGCAAAGCGATAGTGATGGTTATCTTTGTTTTCTCGTTGGGGACGAGGTTAAGACGTATGTCCTATGTCACGCAGTGAGTTGGTAGGGAAGCCGGTTATTAACATCTTCAATTAACTCAGGGCTCTGCTTTGCAAAAGCCCCACGTCCTCTCCTCTCTCCTGATTTCTGGCTTGTATCTGCAGCACCACATGCAGTGGAGAACCCAGGTCATGTCTGACACACAGAGGCTGCAGGCATCTCATTGCTTCTTGGGAAGACAGTGGACAGGCCTTCTGATTCCCACTTTCAGGAGGCCTGAAACCCAGGTGGGTTCTGGACTTCTCTCGGGTACCAGAGAGGGGAGACAGTGTCAGAACTGAGACGAAGGGACCAGGAGTCTCAGGCCCCTGCAGTATGAAGTGCTCTAACACCTAGCCTTTCCTGGCCAAACTACCCTCATCCTCAGGCCCCTGGACCTGACCCTGTGTGGCAGCCTCTCTGAATAGGGTTTCTTTCCTGACTCTTGACAAGGGAGGCCTCTCCTGCTGTCCTGAGTTCTGCTGCCCTGACTAAAGTCAGGTGTGAACCCTGACTGAGAAAGGGCCTCTCTCTAGGCCTGGTGTACTTGGGACTGTCCTGGAAGAGGAGGACATCCCTGGACCTTACGTGGACATGGCCAAATTCAGTGTCCTCTCCTTCCTCCCGCCCCACTGCATCTCTTCTCCATGGCTGCTGGTCCCTCTCCTGGAAGTGTCTAACCTACTCCAAGGCCAAGTACCTTGACAACAAGAAGTCACTGTGCATTTTCCACTCCCAGGCTCTATTTGTTTATTTCTCTGTGCTTCTCACTGACGCAAACCACAGCCTTCAGTTCCAGAGTCTTACAGACAAACGCCTGACCAGAGCCCACAAGAGCACAGCCTTGCTCTCAGTCCTGAGCCTGGCCCTCCTAGGTTGGAGCAGCTGGGCCCAGCCTGTCCCAACCCAGGGAGCCACAGGGATCTAAACTTGGCTTTGCAAGGATTCCTGGCTGAGCAGCCCCAGCCAATGTTGGATCTCAACTCATCTAAAGTAAGAGGAATACTTTCTTGCTTCCCTTGGGTGTCCTGTGAATGAATAATTTACTATTTGTAAAGCACTTTGTAAGGTTCAGGATCATTACACAGGGACCACAGGCTCAGAAGTAGCCCTGGATGCCTGATAGGGTGCTTGTGACTATGAACCATTTATATAGCACTTTACATTGGCCAAGTGCATCCCAATCATTTATAAGTTAATTCTCTCACCACTCCAGAGCTGTCAGCTGCCTTTGGATGCTATGTTCTCTCTCCTGCAAATGAGGTTGGGGAAGTCAGGAGAGGCCGGAAGCCTTGCCCAGGGTTACCTAACATGGTGGCTTGGGGCTCAGGCCACACTTGGTGTAGGCTGGAGCTGCTGGAGGTTTCATTTCTTAGAACCTTGTCATCAACCCACCCAATCCCCCCAGTAAGGCATCCTGCAAGGGATTGCTATAATTTATGACCCCGTGACACTCCCAGGAACACCTTCGATTTATGACCTACCGGGTCACCCAGAACTGAATGTTGGCTTTGAAGTCAAAATCTGCTTGTGCAACTTACAAGAATTTTGACCCTAAGCAAATTTCTTAATGCTGCTGAAGCTCCAGTCCTCAGTGATCAATTAAGGATAGAAAAACCAGCCAGGCTTTTGTAAGGATCCGAAATATTAAATGAAGAGAACCTGGAATAAAATAAAGCTTAATACTTTTTAGCTCTAAGCTTTTGATTACTGCCCTGGCACAGACAAGACTTTCCCTCCAAAGGTGACAAAATAAGCCCATGGGAAATGATACTAAACAAAGTTTTGGATCAAAGCAATCCACTAGGACTCTACACATTTCCTGCCTTTAGCGTAGGAGCCTAGAAGTAGAAAGGTAAGGAAAACGCAAAACTGAAACTCTCACTATTTCCCTTATATGCTCATGAATCAAATTGGTTGGGATCTGCACTATTCAATATTTTTTTCATTTCTTAATCCATATTTACTAAGCACTTACTGTGAACCAGGCAGCTTAAGAAGTAAAGGAATTGGCAGTGAACAAGAGAGACAAAGTCTTTGCCCTCATTGAGCAGACACCTAAAGAATATAGGAACACAAATGGGGAGGGAGTTGGGGGAAGTATGTGCTAAAGGGAGGGATGGTGTGTGCAGATGCCTTGGGGAAGGGAAGCCTTCAGAATGCAGGGGGACCTGAGAGAAGACCACTGTGACTGGAGTAAGGGAGAACATGGCAAGAAGGGTGAGTTGGGCGAGGACACCCTGAGCAGCTCATGAAGCCCGGAACACTAGGATGAGGGGTGGAGATTTAATCCCCACACAACACCACCGAGGGCCTGTAAGGAAGGCTCATCCCCATGTGATGGCTTGGGTTGCTGCATGGATCCTCAAACCCTCGGCAGCTGAGAATCTGAGCCCTGGCTCTGTCAGATGGTTGATCTCTTGGCTCCAAGAAACCTGCAGTCCAAATCCTTTGAATATACCCGAGCGTGTAGAGCCCAGCGAGGGTGCTCAGGAGAGCCCTGCAGATGGGCTGCTTCTCGCCAAGCCCTTGGCCACAAGCAAGAGCCATCACTCAGGGCTGAGCTCTTCAGAGCCCTCACATCCCCTGATTCCTGTTAATTTTCAAGAAAACCCAACAGGCTCAGGAACATAAAGTGACTCATGTGGGTTCTCAGCTGCCAAGCTGGTGCTGGGAGCTGACTGCAGAACCTGAGACTGAGGATTCGGCAAAGCCATGGCCTCCTCCCAACTGCACCCAGTTGTCCTTTTCCTGTCACCCTTCGTGGGATTAACACATAGACTAGCTGTGGAGGGCTCACCTGCCTTCCTTTTCTTCCTTGTGGCTGGGAAACCATGCTGGGAAACCAGAGCAATTACTCATCTCAGTGCTCAGACCAATCCCCTTGGCTCCCAGATCCCTTTTCTGGGGCTTTTATGTGGACTATGGGTGAAAGAAAATATGCTGAGGAGTACTGGAGCTGTCTAAGAAGGGTTTCCTGGCCAGCTAGTAGCTTGCAATATGTTGGAGAAAGAAGACTTCAATGTCTTAGAAATTACATTTATAAAGTGGTAAAATGCTATGGCTGGAAAAAACCTTAAGATTTTCTGGTCCATCCTCTCCCTGCTTGCTCAAGATAATGGCTACAATTACCAGGTCATAGTTAGTTAATTGCTAGGTGCATCATCTTGACAACATATGTCCAGGAATCTGTGCCTAGCCCTGATGGTGATTTCTTGGAAATCCCAGTAGTAAGGGAACCCATTGTTGAGAAGCTTATGAGAAAAATAGGGTTGAAGACCAAGGTCATAAATGAACACATGAAGCACTTATACACATATTTTTTCAAAATCTTTGATGCAATAAAACAAAGGCAGCATACTAAATAAAGACAAAAGCATTGGCCTGTTACACATCATACATTTGTAATAGCAGGAAGTTTGCAATTAATTTCCATTTACCATTCCTTCTTCTCTAGAAACTTTTGATATCACTTCCTCACAATTTCAGCAAGATGCTTGTAAATTCCCTTGGCTTGCTTATAGAACAAGTTTAGGCTGGGCGTGGTGGCTCACGCCTGTAATCCCAGCACTTTGGGAGGCCAAGGCGAGCGGATCATGAGGTCAGGAGATCAAGACCACAGTGAAACCCCGTCTCTACTAAAAATAAAAAAAAATTAGCCGGGCGTGGTGGCGGGCACCTGTAGTCCCAGCTACTCGGGAGGCTGAGGCAGGAGAACGGCGTGAACCTGGGAGGCAGAGCTTGCAGTGAGCCGAGATCGTGTAACTGCACTCCAGCCTGGGGGACAGAGCAAGACTCTGTCTCAAAAAAAAAAAAAAAAAAAAAAGAGCATGTTTAAAGATAATCATATTTTTGATGTATTTTATTCTCTAGGAACTCTTCATGCCATGGGCTCCCCACCTATGTTGGACAGAGTTTTTACTAGCAGGCAACAAAATCCATACTAGTTAGAATAATCGGAAAGAGAATTTAAAAATCATATTAGTTTGCTTACAGGATCTCCAGGGAAACCAGGGAATGAACTTGGCATTCACACAGCCAAGAAAATTGCCCAAGCATACACAGAACTGTTCTAGCAAAATATCACTGCTGCCACCACCCACTGCTTGGCACCATGGCACCAGGGCACTCAGAATTCCATCTCAGCTGCTGAGAAGAGTCAGATACGTCTGCAGTCAAGCTTTCTGGAAGGTATCATGTCCCATGGTGTGGCCAGGGCCTCTTGCTCTTCACTTCATTTTCCAGTGTGTCAACTTGATGGCCACTAGGTTACATGTGGAACTCTGTCTGCAATGGAGCCTGGGAAATGTAGTTTCTAGCCTCCTAGAAAGTCCAGTGAGAAGGAAGTTGGCTTGGGGACCAACTGCACACATGGTAGGAGAAAGGTAGTTATTAGCTAGAACCCTATGCCACTACTCAGCTGTGACTTTTTGGATTAATGCATTCTTGTGTCCCTAGCAGGACAATAGTCTTGAGAGCCAAGATTTGTAGAGAGAGAAAGCATCTTGTAAGTTCTTGAAGCTCCTATCAATGTGGTAACAGGCAGGCCCAGCCAACATGAACATCAATGTTACAAAAAGACACAGGGCAGGGAAATTCATGATGTAATACAATCGTAGTCTCTACGACACAAGAAAAGGAAGCAAAAGCCCATCCCTTCCATCCTGGTGTCTGTAAAAAGAGAAGAAAGAAAGAGATGACAAATCTGTCAAATCAAGGTCTTCATCTTCCTCCAGAATGACTTGGTGGGGAAGGGGTGCTTAAAATATTTCTCAACTCCCAGAATATAAGAGATTCCTGGCTCAGTTTCTTGCATGTTATCTCAGGGCACTATAGACCTTGGCAGAGACAGGTGTCAATTATCACCATAGTTAACCTGCGGTGAGGCAATAATGTACAACATGCAGGGGTGCACCTGGGTTCCATTCAATCATTCGGGGATCCAGGCCCTTCCAGCCAATGGCCCTACTGTCCCCTTAGCTCTGAGTTCTCTGCTGTATCCTCTCTATGTGACCAGCCAAAAAAGCAAATAACCAGAGATAGCAAGCCCATGGAGGGTCACATGAGAGCTTTCAGGGACCTAGCAGATGCTGGTGTGCACCACTTCTACCATCATCTTTGGCCAGAACTTAATGACATGGCTTCACCTAATTGCAGGGGGGCTGGACAATGTAGTTGTGCTGTGTATCCAGGAGGCAAATGAATGCAGAGTTAGGATCCAGACGTTTTGTGTACCTTGGTGGGAGGACACTAGATTCTAAAGGGCCAGAAGGCAGCACAAGAAAATGTTCATAGTAGAATGTTCAGCTGGCTCTGACCAGAACCAACATTGCTGTTCAAATGGTGGAAGTTTGCTTCTGCCTCTGGAAAACCTTGTTGTTGGTAGAGGAATTGGAGAAGGTCAAGGGATTCCTTGACTTTAGCAGGCTCCCTGCTCCACCCATTGAGGAACCCCACTAAAGACACCATTCAGCTGACAGCTCTGCTCCCCAGCCAGCACTCACTTGGTTATGCATCACCCAGTAAGTGTCCAAGAGATAAGAAATGGCGAGGAAGGGGCAGGGCCTGGGCAGGTGAGCCCTGGAGCAGGAGACCTAGATGCCAGGGAGGGAGGGCCATTCACTGGATGGTGGTCTGGCCAAACCATGAACCACCTACTGGACTTCACCACCTAACATTGACTGCTTATTGGGAGGAAGTGAGGGGTCCAACCCCACCCTGGCACTCTTTTCTGTCAGTCTCAGGTAGAGCTATTTAGAAATCCACCCTGGAGAAGCAGACCTACGTTTTTCCTGTAGAAACAGAAGCCGTCTCTTCATTTTTCCTATGGGCTGGCTTTATTTGGCTGCCATAATGACCTGTTTTTACTAATCATGAGATGGTCTGATTTGATGGTTAAGAAAGCAGCACAAAGACCACACCAGCCATTTTAAAAGCTAATTATTTTGATCATGAAGAAATATCCTGGGTCTTTGGTCTGTTTCACAGTCTTTGGTAAATTATCTCAAGAGTAAGTCCTTTCATAATACTTTATGTTCTACATAAACTATTTTGTTTTCTAAACAAATGGTCACTTCACCAAGATATTTATAGGGGGAATGTGAGAGGCTGCGTGCATAATGGCTATCTACTTTCTAAAACATAGCGACATGTTCTTCTCCCATTTAAAGTGAGTTTCTTGGAAAAATATTTGAGGCAAACATGATATGAAAGGTAATATCTTTATTACTCAAAGAGCTCATGTAGATTTTGAAGAACATTAACCCCCCGACAGAGGCATGGAGACAGAACAACTCACAAAAGAGGAATCAGAAAGATGCATCTAACACAACCCCAGCACCAGTGAAAAAATTAATGCTAATTCCCAATGGTTAGTCTCATATGGTGTAAATTGGTATTACTTTTTGGAAAGCAATTTGGCAAAATGCTTTAAGGTTCATAAACATGATCCTGTCTGCGATCCAGAAATCCCACTCCTGGAACTCTTTCCTAAGAAAAGATCACAAATAGGGAAAGGCAATATATATTTGAGTGCACTGTATAAGCAAGCTACAACCTCAACAATAAAGGAATGATTTCTTATATTATCTGGTTTATGAGCTAATATGCAGCCATTTAAGAGCCAATTATGAAGACTGTGGTAGCAAGAAAAGCAAAATGGGCAGGATTTAAATGGTGTGTACATAAAATATATGCATCACTCTAAAGACCAGAAGAGAATACACAAAAATGATGACATTAAGTAGATGAAATTTAGAATTACTTAAAAAATAGCTGTTTATTATAAAAAATTTCAAACATACACAGAGGCAGAGAATGTAATAAATTCTCCCCCATCATCTTGATTGCACAATTACTTTTTGCAATACAGATAATCCCTAACTTATGATGGTTTCACTCATAATTTTTTGACTTCATGGTGCAAAAGCAGTAAACAATCAGTAGAAACTGCACTTCAAGTACTCATACAACTATTCTATTTTTCACTTTCAGTATAGTATTCAATAAATTACATGAGATATCCAACACTTTATTATAAAACAGACTTTGTGTTAGATGATTTTGCCCAACCATAGGCTAATGTAAATGTTTTGAGCACAGTTAAGGTAGGCGAGGCTAAGCTATGATGTTTAGTAGGTTAGGTGGATTAAATGCAATTTGACGTATGATATTTTCAAGATCATGATGAGTTTATCAGGATGTAACGCCATTGTAAGTCAAGGAGTATCTGTGTATGTTTCATATATATATTTAAAATAACTAATTTAAATAGACAATTATTTTTTAAAGGCATAACCAACATGCCATCATCACAACCAGCAAGATAATGTCTTCTATGTGTGTGTGTGTTTTTAAACATTTTGACATAATTTTAGACTTAACAGAAAAGTTGGAAGACTAGTACAGAGAATTCCCATATACCCTAAATCTAGAGTGTCCAAATACTAATGTTATACCTCACTTGCTCTATTCATCCTTCCCTCCCATGTACACACACAAGTTATTTTGTCTAAACCATTTGAGAATAAGGTGTAGACATGATGCCCCTTTACCTCTAAATATGACAGTGTGTATTTTTTAAAAACAAAGACATTCCCCTGTATAACTTGAGTCCAATGGTTACAACCAGGAAATTAACATTATGGTATTATAGTGTATTAATGTATAGTGTACATTAACATTAACATACAATCATGATCACGTCGCCTGTGCACATGGGCCTGTACTCAGAAGGGTCCTGTGTTTGGTTTAATGTTTTCTCAGTTGCCATTTTGATATTCTTAATTTTTGAACCAGGGACCCACATTTTCATTTTGCACTGGGCCCCACAAATTATATAGCTATTCCTGGCTATAATACTATTTTTAAAATATACAGGCTTTATTAAGCTTTCACTGGTTAGCATTCTTTGTAGCAAAAAAGTCCTGAATCATGCACTGCACTCAGTTGTTAAGTCTCTTTAGCTACTTTTCATCCAGAATAATTCCTCAGTCTTCCATGACATTGACATTTTTGAATATTATAGAATGTCCCTCAGTTTGGGAGACCTGATGTTTCCTTATAGTTCGAGTTAGGTTATGGATTTTCGGCGGGAATATTGCAGAAATGATGCTGTGTTCTTCTCAGCATATCATATAAGGAGGCATCTGATTTTAGGTTGTGCCATTCTTGGTGATGTTAACTTTGATCAGTTAGGAAAGTGTGAAGTTACTATTTCTCCTCTTTGAAATGATGAATATCTTGTGGGGAAACACTATGAGTTGATGTAAACATCCCGTTATACCTCACATTTTATCCACTCGTTTTAGCGTCAAATGATGATTCCTGTCTGAATGAATTTATTGTTACGATGATTGCCAAGTGATGACATTTCTAATTTCAAAATTTCTTATACTTTTATTAATTGTTTTCTACTGTGAGGGAGAGCCTTTTCTTCC